>NC_000003.12:86979696-87282727 GCF_000001405.40 Homo sapiens | reverse complement strand
GCTAATCATTTTTTCTTTTATTTACACCATGGGCATAAGGAATGAAAATCTGACTTCTTATTCAAGTGCAATAGCAAACATATCTCTTGTGAAAGATTTACACACTCTAAAATGTACCTCTATGCATTATCTATTAATGTGGTCTAAGAAAATTCAGAGCAAAGAGATTTTCCAACTAAATTAACTCAGACACAGTGGTATATTGTTTGGACAAGGATGGATCTATTTAAGTGAGACAAATGATAAATCTACCCCTGAGCTATAGTACAACAGAGAGATAGCCCTTATGGGCGAGCATCATTTCTAAGTCAGCGTCTCACCTTGACATTTATTTGCCATAAGTTACAAGTTTACCCTTTAGACAGCATTAAGAGAGCATTCATCTTCAGCAAGGTTGCAAACCGTCAACATTATCTCTTCCTTGGGCAATAAAGAACCTTGATTTCTGTATATAAACTAATTTAAGCAAGGGCGATCTACATAATGTGTACATTCATTGTTGTTTTCACTATCAATAAAGAGCCCAACATGGCATGCATGACTGATATGTGCCTTAAATAATGTCTGCTTCCAGTGTGGCAGAGTCCCTTTTTAAACCATATGGCTGAGTAACCTTTTCTTAATAAACTACTTTGAGTAAAACTTATCATCTTTTCAAAGGTTATGAGTTGTGGAAATACAACATTTTACTGCCACTTAAGCTAACTGAATAAATTAATTTAGATTCATTTTCACTTTCTTATTGTAATGGAAGCCCCCATCTTAATTCCTTTGTCTTTATATCATATGTGTGTGTGCGTGTGTGTGTGTGTGTATGAATTATCCACAACTTGTAATCAGTTCAAAGTAATTTGAATTGCAAGTTGGTGGAAATAACAATTATTAGCATCAATTGAACACATTATTGAATGGGGTTATTCAGCATTTCCAGTCTATTGCTCTGCAAGGAATAATGCCCATATCATTCATGTACTATAGCGCAATACTAATACAGGATTGTACAGAGATACAGTTGAAAAGATCATCACGTCATTGAGAATCAGCTTTCTTTCCATGTTTTCTCTCTGAATCTATGTGACAAACAAAAAGTCTACATATGAAGATACACAGATGAGATACAGAACTAGACTTAGACAAATATCAATATCTATATAGATTTTCCTTATATAATAGAGGACAGTATTAGGTAGCTTGCTCAGGCTTTAAGTGGCTTATATTACTACACCAGCTTCACCACTTACTGAATGACCTTTGGTAAGAATTTATCTCAGTTTCCCAGTCAGTAAACTAGTGCCTATATCACTAGGTTAATGTGAAAATAAAATGAGATAATACATATAAAGCACATAGACTAACTATGCATAAACAATAGTTAAAAAGTTTTGCAATTAGTAATTGCTAACATTTATTGAAAGCTTATTACATGCCAAGTATTGTTGTAAGTGGGTTTAATATTACTATTATCTCCATATTACAGATAAAATAACCCAAAACACTAAAGGGTAAAATTACTTGTCCATCAATGTATAGCCACTAAGGTATAAAGCTTGGGTTTATAGCCAGACAGTTTAATTACAGAATCTATCTCCATGCTGAATATATATACTGCTTCTGAACTCACAAAAAAAAAGTAGAAAAATTAGAAAACATAAATATGAAAAATAGAGGAAAAGAGGTTTTAATTTTATATATAACCCAGAGATAATTAGATTTGAATATTAATTCTTAATAGAATTTTTCTCTGGGGTTACATATTTTTCTCTTTTCTTTTTTTCTTTTTTTTTTTTTTGAGACAGAGTCTTGCTCTGTCGCCCAGGCTGGAGTGCAAGGGCGCCACCTCGGCTCACTGCAACCTCCGCCTCCCGAGTTCAAGCGATTCTCCAGGCCTCAGCCTCCCAAGCAGCTGGAATTACAGCCCGCCACCACGCCTGGCTAATTTTTGAATTTTTAGTAGAGACGGGGTTTTGTCATGCTGGCCAGGCTGGTCTCGATCTCCTGACCTCAGGTGATCCGCCCGCCTCGGTCTCCCAAAGTGCTGGGATTACAGGCATGAGCCACCGCGCCCAGCTATTTTTTTAAAATTATACTTTAAGTTCTGGGATACATGTGCAGAACGTGCAGGTTTGTTAAATAGGTATACACCTACTATGGTGGTTTGCCGCACCCATCAACCCGTCATCTACATTAGATATTTCTTCTAATGCTATCCCTCCACTAGCCCCCACTCCCAGACAGGCCCCGGTATATGAGGTTTCCCTCCCTGTGTCCATGTGTTCTCATTGTTCAGCTCCCACTTAGGAGTGAGAGCATGCGGTCTTTGGTTTTCTGTTCCTGCGTTAGTTTGCTGAGAACGATGGGTTTCCAGCTTCATCCATATCCCTGCAAAGGACATCAACTCATTCTTTTTTACGGCTGGATAGTATTCCATGGTGTATATGTGCCACTTATTCTTAATCCAGTCTATCATTGGTGGGCATTTGGGTTGGTTCCAAGTCTTTGCTATTGTGAATAGTACTGCAATAAACATACATGTGCATGTGTCTTTATATTAGTATGACAGGATTTTTTCTGGGGTTATATATATTTTTCTCAAGATGTGGTTTTTTTTGAAACTCAGAGTATTTAAAAAAATCAATCCTTTGCTTAATTTAAGAGGAAATACGGTGAATAAATCAGGCTAAAAACACCTGGCGAAGACTTCTTTTCTGCATATTTTCTTTTATCATCTTAGATTGAAGTAGAATTTTCTTCTTATTTATCTGGTAGTTTTCAAATTGAGCTACAATTTTCATTATTATCTAAGTGATTATAAATGAGCTCTAGAAACATACAGAATATGGCAGCTTAAAATGTCAATAGAAAATTTCTTAAGGTGCCAAAATAACAAAACAAAAGTAAAAATAAATAAATAAGCCTTTGGATAAGGTCAAATTTTAAAGTCTGAAATCATTAAAAATGCATGCAAAAAATGAACCACATGTTTAGCTCTTACATAAAATACTATGTATACCAAGGTCCAGCATAAATTTAAAAGATGAGACATTAAGAAAATTTTAATCATACAATGATCAGAGCAATGAAAATTAAAATTTTCAGTGTATTTGTAAAAGACACAAATGGATAATAAAATTGAATGGCCTTTAAATAAAAGGATAAAATATAGAATCTGTTAATTAACAAAACGATAAATACAGATAGCAAATATAAACCTGAAAACAGAGCATATCAGCAATCAAAAATGCAGATTAAAATATTAAAATATTATCCTATCAGATTAATAAGGCATATATATTTACACATTATTACTAACAATGAGAATGCCAGACAATTGTGGATTTTACACCACTAATGCTAGTGTAAGATGGTATAAGAGCATCAGTCATATTTTAAGGGTGTCTTCCAAGACAATGTTCTATCCCTCCTTGTCTACAAACATCTGAATGTATCCAGGACTATCCTACCCATTCATAAGTGTGGACCACTGGGAACCATCTTTATACTTCTGGAACTTACCAAAAAGTTATAGCCAATAAGAGTATTTCTCTCGGCCCAGCGCATGGCTCACATCTGTAATCCTAGCACTTTGGGAGGCCGAGGCGGGTGGATCTTTTGAGGTCAGGAGTTCGAGACCAGCCTGGCCAACATGGTGAAATCCCATCTGTACAAAAAATACAAAAATTAGCCAGGTATGGTGGCAAGCGCCTGTAATCCCAGCTACTTGGAAGGCTGAGGCAGAAGAATCTCTTGAACATGGGAGGCAGAGTTTGCAGTGAGCCAAGATCACGCCATTGCACTCCAGCCTGGGTGACAGAGTGAGACTCCCCAAAAAAAAAAAAAAAATTATCATAAATGTCGACTGAGAAGCTACAAGATAGTCTGTTTGCCTCCTTGAAAGTTTAAGGCATGATCTAGAGATTTTTGAGGTGAACATGGATGGAGAATCAGCCTAGGCTGTTCTATAGAGAAGGAAAAAAGTTTGAGACAAAAAAAAAAAAAAAAAGCAGGTAGGAGAGTCAGAGAGGTGTGCCCTCATTTTCTATTCAGTCTGTCTCTATGGCCTGACTTCCTTCTTTTCTGTGAGTGCCAAGAAACTCCTGTGTCTCCTGATAATAAACAATTCTTTTTGCTTGACTTACTCCTGATATTTTACATCAAAATCATAATATAATTAATTATTTGAAAATGCAAGTTAGTAATGTTTTCAAGATGTTAAAAGTTTGTAAGACTTAAGCTTAGTAATTCTACTTCTAAGAATCTATCTTAAAGGGGTACATTCCAGATAATCCTATAGATATATTGTATCGTAGAAGACTGTAATGGAAACATTTATTTCCTGGCTTTACCTCATTTTAACAGAACAGGTGTTTAATTTTTAAAAATGATTATGGAAGAAATTCTACGATTGCAATTTAAAACTTTTTAGATATCATGGTAAATAACTGGGAAAATTTTATATTGTTTGCTAGGCAGGTTTTATGGTACTTCATAAAGTATCTTCAGTATACTTCATAAAGTATATTTTTCACATACTTTACCAACATATTCCAATGACTTTATATAACAATAGTAAAATTATTAAGGGACATTTTCAAATTACATTTTCTATAAATATCATTTAGCTTAATTTTTAACATACATGATACCCAATAAACACACTTTTATTTAATTTTCTTAACAGAAACTCCAAATAGACATACTGAAAATCACCTTTTTGTATATGTGAAGTCTGAAAATGATCAGAATTCTGCAAGGGTATAATAATGCTTTTGATTACTTGAAACTTTCTCTCATTAGAAAAGACTAATAAAGCTTCAAAGATATAGAATTCAGAATGAAAAAATATGTCATTTTTAGAATAAATATTTTCATTCCATATCTAATGATTTAGGCAAGCTTTTACATATTTTCCTTCAAAATATCAGCTGCTTACTGACAAAGTGTTCAAGTTTTTGAAAATGTCTTATCAATATTAACATGAAATTTGATACAAAGCAACCAATTCCAAATTATCTTAAAACATTCCGTAGTACAAAATTAGTGTCTACTCACATCAATAATATCTATTCCTGTTCGCTTACTTCTATTTGCTATATTACCTTAATATACAATACATAAATAGTATTTTATTTACTCATTACATACTCATAAATCATGATCATTGTAAAGTTTTGATGCTGTTATTTATCTTTGAAATAGTTGGCTGTAGCATATTATTTTTTTCATTCTCATATAAAGTCAATATATTTTGTGTGAGAAGTTTGCATCTAGTTAGCAACTACCATGGTTATCTCAGGCTTTGTGGCACAGAGTCTAGCTTAGTGAGAATGGCAAGGTACATAACTCACATAGATGTTGTGAGATTTGCATGACGTAACTGTATAAATACCTAGAATACTGTCAGCATCTAGTAACAGCTTACTAAATATTGGGTTCTTGAGTGAATTGAAATCGAGGTAAAGATAACAATTACCCATATCTTAGTTGTATTTAACTTTGGTGCAGTAGTGGTTGCGGTTCTTGCCATTAATGCAATCACTTTTGCACCAACCTATCATTACTACATTTTATCCAATTTTTTTCCATTTTTCACTTATAATATAGTAAAACTTATATTGGTTGTCATCGTTTTTAAAAGCTGTGCATTTTTGAGTATGAATCATTAATTGACAACATATTTTCTCATGTTTAGTATTATATGCTTCTCTCATAATCTTAAATATTGTTTCTTAAAATTATGTATAATACTATGCACTTCTTTTGTTTCATGTTTTATCGCAGATTTAATGAGAAGTTGTTTAAAAAAATCTCATATTTATACATTTGCAATTGTGTTAGTAGCAAAAAGATACCTACTATTTTTCAATTGATTGTGGCATTATTTTTTTGAGGGACGTGTTTTCAAAATTGTTGATTCCTCTCTAAAAGGTCTGAACTACTGAAGTTGTCAAATAAGGTTTCAGATTTCTCCCTTCCCCTCCATCTATACCCCAGAATCAGCTTCCTTCTCTGCCATGGATTATGTTTGGGGTAAAAAAGGAAGACGGTTCAGATTGATAAAGCAATACTCCTGGGAAAAGACTATTAACATGTATAAAGGGATTTCCTTGCAGTATAAATACTAGCGCGCACCCTCCTGGTGCCTCAGAGCCTTCCTGATGTATATATGCAGGTAGTGAGAATTGAATCGGCCCTTTGAGACAGTAATATAATAAAACTCTGATTTGGGGAGCAGCGGTTCTCCTTATTTTTCTACTCTCTTGTGGGAATGAGTTGCCAAGCTTTTACTTCGGCTGATACCTTTATACCTCTGAATTCTGACGCCTCTGCAACTCTGCCTCTGATAATGCATCACAGTGCTGCCGAGTGTCTACCAGTCTCCAACCATGCCACCAATGTGATGTCTACAGGTACTGACTCCTATGACAGTTTACATATGACCGGGCCTAAATATTTCAGAATGAATGCTTTGAATCTTGATAGTTAATAATCTCTTTGCATCTTTCATTTTACCCCTCCAATTTAATTTGTCTTAAGTGAAGTAAGCATTAAGCATATCTAAAAAGCCAACATGCCAAATAAATTTTAAAGAAATATTAGTAAGTGTAGTAATTTAAAATCACTGTTGGCTTTGTTGTAAGGAAGAAAATCTGTTTTCTACATAAGAAAAGAATGAACTTGGACATTTTAAATCTAAAAACCTTTTTAATGGAAATATTTATAGAATAAGGAGCAAATGAAATGAATATTATAAAATAACAATATTTAAAAGGTGCTACTTCTTTATCTTAAAGGTTTATTCGGTTGTTAAATTACATTTACTATCTAAAAACAGCTATAAACCTTATATTAAACACAACAGAACAATCTGAATATCAACAACAATGGATTTCATAGAATAAAATAGAGTTTTAATTAACATATTTTAGCATAAGATACAGAAATTATAGCAAGAAATAACATGACATTTAAAGCCCATTAACTAAGGTAAATTTTCTCAAAATTGCATTCTGAAGAGACTTACTTCACTTCTAAGTTTTAACATTTATCTCACATAACTTTTTAGAACAAAAATTAAACCTAAGAATTCACAGGCTCAACACAATCAGCCAAATACATATGTTTTGCCAGTGTGTTCATTCTTTATGCAGTAACAAAGTGTTTTAGAGTTGATTTACAAATGGAGAAAGACTTGAATTGGGTAAATTTCTTCCATTGAATAGCAATATAATATTCACTTTCCACTTGTTTTAAATGCAATTTTTCTCATATTTAGGAATGAAATTATATACATTTAGAAATCAAAGTTTGAGTTGATACATTATTCTGATTTGAAGGATTTAAGCTCTATCTTTTGTTATTATTAAGCATTTTCTAAATACATGCGTAAGTTTGGCACCAATCTTCTGGTGGATTTTAAAGAATCTAGAGGTCAGATATTTAGACTTTGGTAAAATCATTTAATGTAGAGATTTTTCAATATTACCTTTTAAATTAAATTTCAGGAATCCGCCAAAGATTTCTGTAATTTAATTTAAAGGGTAATACAGGAAGTATCCTCCAACATAATTTTTGGAAGACACAATAGTTTTTATCAAAAATATATGCTATAAATAAATCTAAGCAATTACCACATAGCTAATCACATATTTTAAATAGTAGGTCATCCTATAGATTGAGAATAATGAGAATAATACACTATTTCTGTGTTTGAAGATAATTTGGCCAGCATGAAAATACAATTCAGAATCGAGGTAATAATCTAGTAAAATCTAATTTTATACTCAAAATGCCATTTATTTACTTTAAAATAAGTAACAATTTATTTAGTAAATTAGCCTATCCTGTATTTAACTTCCTAAAATCTGAAAAGCAAAAATTATTTAAGCCTTAAAATTAAAAAAGAATTATAATTAATAAAAGTGACCTACAAATGTTTTAAATGATAATAGCATTGATTTATAATTTTTTAATGAAATTTGAATCATATACATCTAATTGTCTAAGGAACTATTATAGAAACACTGACTTTAATGGGAACACTTGAGTATTAAATATGTTTAATGATAATTTGCTTAATTTTGGAATGCACAGTAATGCATTATATGTAATCATTATATTGCAAAATGACTTTAGTTCTTTTGAGCTATTAATTATAAAATAAAAATGTATACAGATTTTTAAAAATTAAAGATTTTTCTCTATTTTAAAATAATTTATTTTACTTTATGAAGAAAGGCATGTCTTTAATCACTAGTTTGTATATTGGTATTCTCAAAGGATTCTAACCATACTTTATAATATCTCATTTATTCAAGAAAATTAATTTATGAAAATTAACCAATATATTCAGAATATGAAGGAAAAAATTGAGAAAATAAAATATATAAGGAAATATTGGTTTTATTGTCAATATTTTGTGCTCCCTATCAACTTGATGATTTGTGTTTAAAACTTGATAAAAGTCTAATAATTCCAGTTTACTTCCAAAATACACATTGATTTCCTGAAGCATATAACCATTTATGAACGGTTATGTTTATGTACGGCTTTATGGCTTTATGGATATTAAGTCACTCAATGAATGAACTCATTTTTTGACCAGCTTTATCATTAGAATGGTTGTATCAATTGTGTATATGCAGACAACTAACAACCTCATGGTTTCAACATCAAAATAAATAGATCATATATTGTTACAGGTTTTTAATAGCACTCTGAATGCAGTGAGATTTTTATGATTGTATCTAATAAAAGGCTACTTGCTCTGCCATTTCCACTTTGATGAAACAAATTTGTTAGACAAATAAGCAAAAATACGCTGTTCAAGAGTGAATTTCTGTATTCATTCATACAGACTGCTTTATAATACCATGCAACACAAGAATTTTAAAGGACTATTCTTCTAGTCGGCGAGTTGCAATGTCTGCATTGAACAGAACCAACAAGCATTCTGCAACTCCCAAAGGGCCAAGGTCTAAATTGGTCAGTCACCCCTTCACGGGGCACTCGTAGCCATAGCACAGAGCACAGGATAATTAATGAAGTCCGTTTTGATGATTTATTATCTCGTTACATGAGACAAACTTTGATCCCCCCTAGTTTTAACCTACTCGTCAGAGAACTTACCCAAAATGAGAAAAACATATTGGCATGTAACTTTAAGAACCACATAAATGTGTATTTTTGAAATAAAACGAATGTGTCTTGAATCCTTATACATTTTCTTACCAGTCCCATCTATTTTGTCTTTGATCCAAACTCCTAAATGTTTGTGCACACATTTCTCGGTGACAACGTTGGGAAACACAGCAACAGGACTTCATTATTCTGTTCCTTCCTGTCATTATGGAAACCAGCCATCAACCTATGGAGTGATGGCAGGTAAGAAAAGTTGTCTTTTACATGTTATTGAATTTGGGGACACTTAGATGGATTTTCTGGGCCTGAAAGAATTGTGATCAGAGTGTGACATGAAATTTGATTTCTTAACTTTGAAAATTACTGTTAAAAATCACCACTTCTTGTTTCCTGCTCTGTGACACCCACAGAGACCATAGGGGTTATACCTAATTTCCCTACTTACGTATCTCTGAACTGCTGTGCTTCTTGAGTTTGCTTTGTATGGTTTTTATTGAAATTCACTATCGTCAAACTGTTAGTTGTAACATGATGCTATTGGTAGGCTTACCTTCACTAAAAATATAGTAGCTACTAGACACGTGTGGCTATTTAAATTTAAATGTAAACTAGGTAAAATAAAACAAGATTTCAAATTCAGTTTCTCAGTTGCACTTGCTACATTTCAAGTGCTCTATAACCACATGTGGCTAGCGACTCCCATATCAGACAGCACAGGTTTACAGAACACCCCCCCTCATCATTATATTTCTTCTGGACCTTTGGTCCATAAACATAAATAAGACATTGATTGAAGCTAAGAGTGATTGGTAGGGGCTTTAGTGATAGCTGTTTCAGGCTTTAGCAGCCCTTTCTGAATTGCTTCTGAGTGAGTCTTAAGTGAGATTGAAATCATTGAAGTTACATACTTTTCTCCTATAGGTAAGTGAAGTATGACTGTATCAATTATGGCTACCTGCTTATTGATCCTTCTATAAAGGCATTGAAGCACAGTTTTTGAGGAATGCGTAGATCTGGCTTATGAGATCTATTCATCAAAAATTCTTGTTTAATTTCATGGCATGGCCACATAAGATTTTAATTGTTTTTAAAAAGTACACAGTTTTATTATGCGCAGGATTTTCATTTGTTGGTTTATTTTTAAGATAGCTTTAGGAGATATACCTAACGCTAAATGACAAGTTAATGGGTGCAGCGCACCAGCATGGCGCATGTATACATATGTAACTAACCTGCACATTGTACACATGTACCCTAAAACTTAAAGTATAATAATAATAAAAGAAAAGAAAAGAAATTCTTTGATATTTTATCTTTATTACTACAGCAGGAAAAGAATTCTTATTGATGACAAACTGTGTGAGTAAATGTGTGTGTGCGTGTGCATGGTGTGTGTGTATGTGTGTGATACTGAGGGAAAAACTGTGGATAAAGGAATCACTTATTAGGGAAATCTTTTCTAATTGACTTGTGTTTTGTTATGATACAGATAAGCAGTAAAAAAAAAAAACCGCAGACAAATATTGATTTATTCCTATAATTTTCAAGTAAAATGGAGCAAATAGTTTAATTTTAATTAAATTGTTTAACCTTTGATATCTCAAAATTTGTCCATGTAAGACTAAATAGAACATTAAAACTTTAAAATAATAATCCAGAAAAATATGAGCTTCTCCTACATTCTATCAAGCAACATTCTGAATAAACCAGTATCCTAACATTTATGGTTAAATGAAGACTGGTGTTCTTAACAATGACCTGTAAATCCTGACGTCTTTTTTTAAAAATTAAGAATTAAAGCCATATTTTTTCTTCCTCTCTGAAAATTGATTATTTATGATCAACATGCTTAATTAGTATTCATGGTTAATGAGAATAGCCCTCCTCAATGATGAACTACTGTCATTATAAAATAGTAAAATAAATGCGTTTAGCTACTGGAGGTGCGGGTGGATTGCTTTCTGTGGCCTTTACAGCATTTTGATTATGAGACAGGAAATGACAAACACATGCCACTGTTTCCTGGAGGAAAGACCTTACAGTTCATTTAGAGGAACTCCCAGGAACCAAGGTACATTGTTAGTTTCTCTCTTAACCCAGCACAGAGGCAGTCCCTGCCAGTTGATTGAGGTTGGCACCAAGATTAAAACCAGTCACAGAGCAGGGGCCAATAATCTCTGGCCCAAATACCTTCAGATAATTTTTGCTACCAACTCCCACCCTGCCTAATCAGAGAGGGCCACCACTGGCCTCGGGAGTTTGCAGCTGGCCTCAGAATTCTAACACCCTTACTGCTTCCAGGACTGGAGCCAATATGCCAATGTTCACATTGAGAGTGTTGGCAGCTCATGTCTTTCTGATACAAGTTTCCTCCAGCATGAACTCAGCAAACCCTCTTCCACGAACCTCTTCCTCATTTCAATTAAAATGTAAAGACCCCTGGAAGAGCCTTTCAAAATGATTCAAAACCCTGTCTTAGTGACATCAAGAGCAGAAGACTTACACCAAGGTCTGGAGCTATCACTGTGGTCTTAAGATTAAATATATTCTGTGACTGAAAGAAAAACTCACCATCACAAGCACAAAGATATTTGAATATTTTTGAGAGGGATTGTTAAATCCCTCTCAAAAATTTTGTTAAAATGTGATATGCTTTAAATGTCAGAATGTCTATATTGGGACATAATTCAGTATTAGCATTTGCTTCATGAGAGATTAGATCTTAGAGAATCTGAACTCTCCTGACTTTATCCCCAGTAAAGCTGCATAAATTGAGTTACAAAATACAGCAATTCAGAAATAAGAGAGAAAAGGTAAATAAGAGACAAATGTATAAAGTACACAATAGAAACCTTATTATGTCATCTGAATTTTCTGAGAAGTCTTAAGTCATTAATCAAATCAGCCCCTTGCACACAATCCACAGAAGTGTCTTAACAACAACAACGACACGGTGTCACATACTCTATATAAAAGTGAAGCTACAGGAAGAACTATATTTCTAAAATATGTGAAATTACTTTATTTTCATATGGTTATTTCATTACTCATACTCTGATGCTTACATTTAGTTTGAGCATTTCATTAAATTAATAACTCACAGGAAAAGAAGAGCTATAACTAATATTTTGTCAGGTTGGTAGGTAGAATTTTAATGATCAGATGAATCCACTGTACGTAATAGTCCAGGTGCAGGCAAAATAAAGAGAATGACTAATTGGGAGTAATGAATTATCCATGCCATTAACTAATTACTAACATTGTTCAAGTGATTAACACCTCTGAGTTCCAATCTCTTCATATCTACGTTGTGGTGGGTACTACAACTCTACTGGGGTTGAGTAGTAGCAAATTTGTGTCAGCTCAAAATGATTTCTCTTTTGCCCTTCTCTTCACGTACTCTTGCAGCTAAATTCCTTCTGTCCTTTCACTCCTGAGAACTTAGAGAATTCAAATCAACACCTTACAGTACAAATAATAGAAAACCTAGAATTACAGATGCTGTTCAAAGTCTCTCCTAGATAAACACAAAACAAAACAAAGTATCAAAAAAAAAGTTCTCAAAACTCTGACTCTTGGGTTTCTGAGATTGTTTCTGTTCTCCAGTATCTGAAGCAGAGTACAATTCAGGAAACAAGCTCAATGGGGGTTCACCCTTTCTGCTGTCCTGTGGAAACAGCAAATCAACCTCACTGTAATAAATGTTAAACCCACCATCTTTACATGATGTAGTGGCCAAACCAAGAAGTAGTGTGAAAGTCCTTGCTTTAAAAGTTAATTTCAAGGGGAAAACAAAACAAAACAAAACAAACAAACTTGTTTAAGTCCCAAACTCTTGGGACTTAAACAAGATGATGAGCATCCAATTCTTTTTCATGAGAAGTGGATATTAAAAGAAAAGATTGTTATGGCTGAAAATATTCTTGCTGCCTGGGCTAATACAGAAGAAAACGGAAATCAGCCTGGCAACTGACAGGGAGAAATAGTCTAGTCTATTTTTGGAACCCATCTTTTCATTTTTTGAAATTTGAAATTTTTTTTTCTTAATTTACTTCTTTTGTTTAGTTCTTTGTTTTATTTGGCCCTAAATTGTTCTGGTTGTAACAACTCTAAGGAAACAAGTAATTCTGAAGATCTTTTGCTTCCACATCGTGAAAGGTCTTTTGGTAGCAGTAACATGATGTATTTTCACTTCCAGACTAGGGGTTGGCAACCCTTTTCTGTAAAGAACCAGACAGTAAATATCTCAACCTTTCTAGTTTTTGTTGCAACTATTCAACCTGTCATTGTAGTAGGAAAGCAGTCACAGCCTGTGTGTAAAGAAATAGGCATTTCAAATTAAACTTAATTTACAAACACAGGCAATAGGCCCCAGTTGTACACGGATAGGATTTACCAATGCACAAGAGTGAAAAGATCACAGTGGAAGTTTATAATTTCCTTTGAATTTTTATGCCTAAGCAACAGAGGGGAATATATGGAAATATTCAGATACATGTTCCTGTGCATGTTACAAGCACAGCAGGGTGGCGTATTTTACTATGTCCCTCTGCTTCCCCTGTTTGTTTTTTTAAGGCATCAAGCCAGTAACGTGAGATGATGTTGTCAGCTAACCACATGCTGCAAAGATCAATTTGCCCCATGCTATGGTACATTGAGTCAGCGCCTAGTAAGGCATCCCTATCTCTGACCCCCATTGCCTGCTTTAAAAGATTTACCTCTGTTCTTCTCTCTCCTCTGTCACACAGAAATGCATACATAGCAATTTAGAAAGGCTCTGGTGAATTAATCTTCAATGTGAAAATGTATTTGGAACTACAGTGTGCAAACACTTCTGAGCTATGTGTGTGTGTGCTGTCCAGGCCTCAAGATAATTTTTCTTTATCCATGTTTCAGAAAATGTTGATGAGACCTCTGTCACACATGACTCACAACATCTTTTATCTTATTCCTACTTTTTGCAGTAATCTGGGTTTTAAAAAGATTTGAAAAACATATTGCTATACATATCATCCCAATCACTCTCCACACTCCCCCAAATGCAGGCTCAGATGCTAGAAACAGAGGTTCGTTTGGCTGTTCTTTTAAATTGTTGTGATGAAATTCTGTGTGAAGTTAGTTCCAGGAAATCTGTGACCTTGCAGATAATTGTAGATACTTTCATGCAATGAAAAATGAAAGTGAACCAGGTGCAGTGGCTCACAACTGTAATCCCAGCACTTTAGGAGGCCGAGGCAGGCAGATCACCTGAGGTCAGGAGTCCGAGAATAGCCTGGCCAATGTGGTGAAACCCTGTCTCTAAATAAAAAATTATAAATAAAAAATAAATTAAAAAATATAAAAATTAGCCGGGTGTGGTGGCAGGCACCTGTAGTCCCAGCTACTAGGGAGGCTGAGGCAGGAGAATTGCTTGAAGCTAGGAGGCATAGGTTTCAGTGAGCCGAGAGCACTCCAGCCTAGGGAACAAGAGCGAGACGCTGTGTCAAAAAAAAAAAAAAAAAAAAAGGGAAAGGGAAAAAAATAAAAAATGTATCACACATCACATTTTCCTTCTTGTTCTGGATGCCAAACCTTGGAGCATGGTATTTTCTGTGTACTTTTCATGGATTCCATTCAAATTTGTTTTCTGCGTGTCCACTTTCCCAGAGTACTTACAATGTATAAACTACCTTTCAATTTTTGTGGCTGGGTTCTGTGGCTTATACCTATAATTCTAGCACTACAGGAAGCTGTGGCTGGAGGATTGCTTGAAGCCAGGAGTTTTGAGACCAGCCTGGGCAACATAGTGAGATCCCGTCTGTGCAAAAAATTTAAAAAAGTAGATGAGCATGGCGGTGCATGCCTGTAGATTCTACTTAGGATGCTGAGGTGGGAGGATGGCTTGAGGCCAGAAATTTGAGATTGCAATGAGCTAAGATTTTACCACTGCACTCCAGTCTAGGAGACAGAGTGTGACCCCATCTCTAAAAATAAAGAATAAATAAGCAAACAAACAAATAAACAATTTTACGGAAACAGGGATGACACACTTTATATATATTTTATTGTAATATTTTTGTGGAACAGTGTTTGTTTAATATAGCCAAAGGTGTTTAAATGCAGAGAAAACCTTTTAAAGAGAAGTTATTTAATTTGCCTGAGTATAGACTGCCTGGAGAATGAACCGGGCAATGATTTTGATGTGGCTTACTGCAATGCTTATTAGACTTTAGTTCTGGTTTAAACTGCAAAGTTAATTCGTTGGGCACTGGAGGCAAGTTATTTACTTTCTTTCTACTTAAATTTCCTCCATTGTAAATTATGGGGAAAAATATATATCTTTCCTGACTCATTTTTTGTATAAGGATAAAGATGATAACAAATGTGAAATTAACACGACACAAAGTGTTGCATAGAAGATTTGTAGCAGTACATAATTATGATCAGCAAGAGAAATTGAAAATAATAATAATAATTGATAACAAATTTAGACCTTTTAGTATGCGTAAGTAAAAAACACACAAATTTTTTATATAAAATAAACATAATTTGACATAGGTTAAATGAGTTATCTAAAGTGTCTTAAAATATGTTAAATGTACAAAATCTAACAGTAGCCTGGCTTTTCTTTGTACTCTTTCTCAGGGTATTTTATCATTAAATGTATTAAGTGATACCTGATGGACCTAAATAATCAAAGAAGTGAAGGTTTTATAAATATATGTGAGAATCAATTCTGAAAGCATAAGCACAAAACAAGTCTTCAGATAAATATGAGATTAAATAAATGATAACATAAATGTCATCAATTTTCTTTTACATCTATTAGTCCTTCTTTTAATTTAGCAGAAAATTAAAATTAATAAAAAGCTAAAAATAAACCCCACGGCAATAAATATTTTCAAGAAAAGCTATATAATAAAAGAAAAGTTGGTAAAATTGCTTTTAAAAATGTTCTCTTGTCTGATCAAGATGCCACACAATAAAGCATAAAATGGATAGTTAACTGACTTTTACAAAAGTAAACCTGGATAATTTTGGTTTGTAAAAGTAGCAGGAATTTTTTAAAGACAAAAATAATTTCTTTCACATCTTTTCCCAGCTTTAGAGCAGATAAATTTATGTTATGCTAATTTGTTTAATCTCTCATTTGTATGTTTACTTTGTTTTAGAAAAAATAATATACCCTATTAGATATAATTACATATTTATAATTACATATTTTTATATAAATTTATAATTATATATTTATAATTACACATTTATAATTATATATTTATAATTACATATTTTATATAAATAATACATTAAATTAAATTTATATAAAATTTAATACATTAAATTAAATTTATATAAAATATAAATTTTATATAAATAAATTAAATTAAATAAATAACTACATATTTATGATTACATATTTTTATATAAAAAATATAAACCAACAATTTGCTGAGTTACGGTATTCTTTGCTCATTATATATTGATATATTAATGTAAGATTTCTGTATTCTGGAAAATATATTATTACTCATGTCTTTGATTTGAGAATGTATGTGTGGAGAAATTATAGGTAGCATGAACTCTTGATGCATTTTTTTCCAGTAAGTTTCTAAGAATAATTATTGCATGTATTCCATAGTAATTTATTTTAAAATATTTATATTTATAAGAAAATGATTAATTACTCAATATTTTTATATAAAAATGTCTTGCTTATACAATCATCCTTCTATGTGGCACATTGGTTCCAGGACCCCCAAGGATACCAAAATCTTTCGATGCTCAAGTCCCTGGTATAAAATGGTGTAGTATTTGCATATAACCTAGGCACATCTTCTACCTTAAATCATCTCCAGATTACTTATAATATCTAAATCAATGTAAATGCTATGTAAATAATTGTTATACTGTATTGGGTTTTTTATTTGTATCATTTTTATTCTTGTGTTGTTATTTTTTACTTTATTTTTTAAGTGTATTTAATTCATGGTTGCATCAATCCATGAATGCAGAACCCATGGATATGGAAGGCACACTAGACATGTCATTTAATATAAATTGAAGTAGAATCTTTGTCGATAAAAATTGTAATGTATTGATAAAGAAAACAAGAAACAAAATGTGTTGGAATTTGGCTTATATACTGTCCTCTCACCTATACTTCCCAACTGAGATAGACTCTTCCAATGAAAAAGGAAATCTGGAAGCAATTGTGTAATAATTTCAGACCTTTTTACATTTTTTGTGATTTAACATATCCACTCAGTAGAGTCAATGCTTTACCATTTATCGGTAATCACTTATCATATATAAAGTTGCAAACTTTCTTGCTTCTTATATTTGCTTTTCCTTAAATAATAATCAAGAAATTATTCTATTATATTGTATATTTTTCAAGAAATCTTGTTAGTGACTTTTTAATAGAACTTTTAAGGTTACCTTTTGTTAATATTTAATCACTCCTCAAGCCTATTTAGCCATATTAATATACTTTATATTCTCATCATTCTCTTTCTGCCTACCTTCATTTAATTAAAAAAGATGTGATTATTTCTTAATAAAATCAAGTTTTTACTGATTAAATAGTGGGGCGTTTTTATATTGTGAAATCAATTTCCCAATCACAAGAAAACTTCTCAGCATAGCACTTAGCCGAAGCATTTAGTGCCATGATCACAACAAACATCACCCATTATTTATTCAATGAATTAAGAAAACAGAGTTCAATGCATAGACTCTGGTTAGAGTTCAACCTCAGATTCCCAGGAATAGGTGTCATTTAAGAGAAAAACATGATAGAAAATGTATGCTTCTGAGAGAAGTTGTTTGTTTCTATTTTAGTTATTTGCAGTCCCCTGCTTCTTTCCTTTAACCCTATCTTTGGTTTTGCTGCTCTGGAGAAGGTAGAAGACAAATAATCTCAATTCTACTAAGCTACTTTGACTCCTTCTTCGGAAGACTGAATGTAAGGTAACCTTGTAAGTACTGAGACAGGCTAGAGCAGAATAATGGGCTAAGTCAGGCAAAACCCTTTCTTATATAGAAATAAGGAGAATGACAAATGGTCTTTTTCATTTTATTTCTTTGTTTACTCACAGGTAGTTTAACCCCTTGTCTTTATAAATTTCCTGACCACACCTTGAGTCATGGATTTCCTCCTATACACCAGCCTCTTCTGGCAGAGGACCCCACAGCTGCTGATTTCAAGCAGGAACTCAGGCGGAAAAGTAAATTGGTGGAAGAGCCAATAGACATGGATTCTCCAGAAATCAGAGAACTTGAAAAGTTTGCCAATGAATTTAAAGTGAGACGAATTAAATTAGGTATGTGCTTGTTAAAGGCAACAGGAAAAAGAACTTGGTTTGCAAATCTTTATTGCTGTTAAATCTCTTATATATTGCTAAAAAGTACAAGATGATTCTCATTCTTCATCTCTACTGTGGACGTAGTTAGTCGTTATGGAAATCCTCCAAAAACATTTGTTTCCTTATAATTTCTTAAGAGCCTAAATACATAATTTTTAAATTAATAATACTCTTTCAAAACTTACCTCAACATTAGTTTTGAAGTGCCCATTTTTATCTATATTTTATTTGAAATTTTGAATAGGCCATACATTTATATGATTCAAAAGTACAAAAGAGTATAAGTGACATGTATCCCTTCTGCTTGCTTTTTCTGTATATCGTTGTTAGTTCCTTGTGTATCTTTCCAATGATATCTCATGGATATATAAGTAAATATATATGGAAATATATGTATTGTGCCAAACATATGTATTATTTGAAGTTTTCAGTAGTAATTTTTCTAGAGCTCCTTTTCCTTTGTGGGGCTGTCAAGTTCCACTTTATGAATATACTGCAATTTATTTGACCAGTCCTCTACTGATGAAATTTAGGTGGTTTCTGATCTTTGGCTGATAAAAACGATACCACGATGATTAACCCTATAAATGTTATTTTGCACTCATATAAATATATGCGCAGCAAAAATGTTAGAAGCACAATTGCTTGATCAAAAGTATGTGTACTGGTAATTTTGATAGATGTTATCAAACTGGTCTCTAGAGAAGTTGTACCAAATTTTACTACTACCATGAGAATCTTTTTCACCATCCTCAGGCTATATAAACTCCAAAACGGCATGAGTTTTTAAAATCTATTTCTTTTTATTTTCTCCTTAATGATATCTCCAGCATCTAGAAGAGTATAACTATAACACAAAATAAATAAATGGTGGTTGAAAGAAAAAATATGCTGTTAATCTTTTAGATCTTTGCAAATCAGACAGGTCAAAGTGACATCTCACTGTTTTTTCATTTAAAATTTCTTTTATTATGAGTGTAAAGTATATTATTTAATATGCTTGACAATCATTTATATTTCCTTTTCTGTGAACTATCTGTTCAGAGCCTTTGCTCATTTTCTACTGAAGTGTTTTTAAAATAAAACAACTATAACAATTGACTTTGGTTAAATTGCATAAAATTGTGTATTTTTTTAATGGATTGAAATAATAGTTCAAACCTCTGCACTTGCAGAATGAACAATAGATAATGTAATAAGAATATTTATTGATGGGCATCATATGCAACCATTTTATACATATAGGTATATAGCCTTAGGTCCTGAAATAATATGTAGCTATTACATGTGATAAGCACAGTAGTAGGAATCTTTGTGAAATTCATTTTCAGTTTTCTATCTATATTACTGTGAATGTTTCAAATTATATGTTATTTCAGCTGTACTCTAAAAATGTTTGCGACAAACAATAAGGATCATTAGTCTGAAGACAGAGGCATTATCAAAAACTATAAAATGGGCTCAGAAGTATACATGAAATGTGTAATCATAGCCTCTTAATAAATATGGTTTTAGGGAAAGTGACATAATTCTTAGTTTTATTTAGTACCCTTCAACAATATCATTGAATCTTTTAGAGTTGAAATAAGAATGTTATGATATATAACCGTATATTTTATGCATTATAGTTAATATATTAAAATTTTTTGAGCATATATTATTTGATAACTAACAATAATGATAAAAAAGCCATAATTTTCAAGTGCCTTATGAAGTGTTTAGGACACACCTAAACACTGGTTAAATATTATGAATGGCAGATGTTTCTATCTGAATTCTTTCAGTGACTAGATAAAAGTAATTTATTAACTAGAAGAAATATGTTTTGAAGTATTGCACAAGTACTTCAAAGTATAATGAATCTTACTAAATAATTCTGATTTGCCAAGAATATATAGTTAAAAAATAGTGTGTAATAGTTGACAAAGATACACAGATTTGTGTGACAATGAACCAAAATTAACATTTCCTGGAAAGTTGGAGCTGATGGTCTTTATTGTCCCTTCACAGGATACACCCAGACAAATGTTGGGGAGGCCCTGGCAGCTGTGCATGGCTCTGAATTCAGTCAAACAACAATCTGCCGATTTGAAAATCTGCAGCTCAGCTTTAAAAATGCATGCAAACTGAAAGCAATATTATCCAAATGGCTGGAGGAAGCTGAGCAAGTAGGAGGTACTAAATTGTGTCTCTGAAGGCTGTGCTGTGTTTTAACCTAAAAATAATGGCTTCAATAAGTAGGATTAATGCTAAAGCAGGAGGTTTGAGGGGTTTTTTTCCGCCTTTTCTCTTTGAGATGAAAAATAAACATTTTGTTATATCACACTAAAACAAACAACAAAAAAGGAAGGGCAATGTAAGTGTGGAAATAAATTTATTGAGGATAGAATAACCTATATAAGGAAAGCTTGTTGGCATCAGCATGAAGGGGTAAAATACTTATTTTTTTACACATCCATTTTTTTCCTCTCTTTTATACTAGAGAAATTATATATGAATCACATTTGTATCCTAATATTAGTGTACACAAAACATTTGCACACACCAGTCTTCCAAGAAAATAATATAAGCAATTGCTAGATATGCAACTTAATGAGCTAAAATTATCTACTCATACAAATGTCAGAGCCTGATAAAGAGTGAGGTTTGAGAGTATTTACAGCAAGCATTCCAACAAAAGTAAAGTGAGGATATTATTTGTAGAAAGTGTCTTTGCAAGGTTAATATTTATTTCTGCGTTGAGATTTTTCTCTAAGGTCTGTAATAGAAAAAGACTGCAAAAATTTAAGACAAAAATGTCTAGCATTTTTATTTTGCATTGTTTTATGAAGAAAATTTGAAATCCAAATCAGATCGTTTTTTATAAAAAGTCTACTTTGTGTTTGTAATTATCTCTCTTTTCCACATTATAGCTTTGTACAATGAAAAAGTGGGAGCAAATGAAAGGAAAAGAAAACGAAGAACAACTATAAGGTATTCTTTATATTAAAAGTTACTAGAGGACAAAACTGGTATTTTATAAATGGAATGAGCATTTGAGTGTAATGCAGGTGTAACATAACATATAAATGTAAGGTGAATTGGGAGGCCAAGGCGGGCCTGAGGTCAGGAGCTCGAGACCAGTCTGGCCAACATGGTGAAACTCTGTTTCTACTAAAAATACAAAATTTAGCCGGGCATGGTGGTGGGTGCCTATAATCCCAGCTACTCAGGAGACTGAGGCAGGAGAATGGCTTGAACCTGGGAGGCGGAGGTTGCAGTGATCCGAGCTTGCGCCACTGCACTCCAGCTTGGGCGACAGAGCGAGACACCGTCTCAAAATAAATAAATAAATAAATAAATAAATAAATAAATAAATAAATAAATAAATAAAAAAAAAATAATAATAATGTAATAACTTAATTTTGAGAAATGGAGAGCTAATAATTTTCAACATTTGATGGAAAATTATGTATTGTTTGATTCAAGAACACTTTTACTCCAAAATTTTGAATACAAACAGAAAGAAAACAATCATTTCTAAGAGACTGGCCATATCTTCTCCCCTTTTAGCTATAACTTATTGCTCTGACAATGTAGTATCCATGGTGTCTATAGTATTTAAAAATGTGACACTAGTAATCAGTGTTTCGGTCTCTTCAAGTTCAACATGACCTCTTGCATTTCAACCCAGAAAGATTGTTCATTGATCTTTTTGTAGTTTCTGTGAGACATGCTTAGCAAATACTAAAAGACAGGTTTTGTTTTGGTTGGTCAGTTGTTTACTAGAGATTTCCTTTATCGTAAACAGCCCTAAATGATTTTGGGGAGATATTTAGAAATGTCTAGGAAAATGTTCATTTTCTTCTCAAGAACTCAGTGCCCTCTGGTGGCACAAAGTGGGAAAAACATAGAAAGTCTGGGTCCCCTACTTAATGCTTTCCGTGACTCTCGTGTAACTCTACCTTACATAAGACAAAATATCTACATATTTAACACATTATACATTTGTCCTTGTTAAAGTGTCCTGCAAGTGTGTTCAGAGTTTTTAAGTTTCCTTTTCATGTTAATATTGAGGAAATTCAACCTACCTTAATTTTGAGCTGCCAAAAACTTCACTAAAAACAACAAAATTTCACCCCCTATGTCCACCCCCCGCCAGCATTGCTGCTAAAGATGCTCTGGAGAGACACTTTGGAGAACAGAATAAACCTTCTTCTCAAGAGATCATGAGGATGGCTGAAGAACTGAATCTGGAGAAAGAAGTAGTAAGAGTTTGGTTTTGCAACCGGAGGCAGAGAGAAAAACGGGTGAAAACAAGTCTGAATCAGAGTTTATTTTCTATTTCTAAGGAACATCTTGAGTGCAGATAAGATTTTTCTATTGTATAATAGCCTTTTTCTCCCGTTTCATTCCTTTCTCTTCCTCAACAAAAACAGAAATTACTTGGTTGACTTAAAATCATTTTATATCAATAGCTTTTACAGAAGCTTTACTTTTCCACTTTTTTTTAAAAAAAAGAAACCAACAATTTAAATTATATTGATGTTATTTACTTAAAATAATTATTCTCAGAAGCCACATTATCTATTTTAAGCCAAATATATTAACAGTAATAAAATGATCTCTCTGTCTCTCCCGCTCTCTTTCTCACACACACGCAGACATATGAGTATGGGTTTATAAGTTCCTTTTCCAAACATGTATATTAGCTTTTTAACATGTAAGTCAGTAATGACACATATGTAAAGCACATCACCAGAAATATCCAATTCAAAAATTAACCAATGTTCTGCTTTCTACCAACTCTACTAATTTGTCTGAACTAAAAGTTTTGAACTTAAGAGCTGGAGGTGTCTTATAGTTTTATTACTCCCTTTAGGAATAAACCTCAATCAGAATTGATACTTTGAAGCTAAAATTTAGGGCATAGCTGATAGAACTGTTTCAAAAGAGATGTGTAGAAACATTAATTTTTGATCTTTTTATTCTTCCTAAATATTAGCTTTTTGATGTGTAGCTGTAGAAAATAATGCTTTATGGATTCTTGAGCCTCAAACCATTAGTCTGTAAGCTGCAACAGGACAGGAAGAGATCTGGCTTGTTTGGTGTTCCCTCTCCAGGGCTTGGGAAAGTTCTTGCTCATATTAGGCATGCAATCTTTGTTAAATGAAGGAGTGTTTAAGGTTAACAATGGCTACAAATGTGAATGGTGTCACCTAATTTTAAATTATAATGTTTTTGAAATCTCACAATCTAGAAAATCATCCAGGTTTCTATAACAAGACATGATCACTTTTGGTATAATCGATTAGAATCTGATTTACTATTTGTAAAAAGTTTGACATATTGAGATTTTAATTCTGAGAATTTTATCGACAAGAACATATTTATTTAAATTATAAGAATGCATTTCCTTGAAACATGCTAGTAGAAGCAAACTGTAATGTGATATTAACTTAGAATAGTGACTGTTTTGCATTTGGATGTAAATCTGCTGGCTATGTTTATCTAACTTATTTTATATAACAAAAGTGGTAACAATTAGACCAAATTTTATTGTTGAATTAGAATGCTTACTAAATAAATTATACTGTCCAGTCTCTTTTTATGATATTATTAAAGACCTAGCATTTTTACAGGTCATAATCTACATAGATCATATATGTATGTTCATACATAATCACCATCAATTAGATGGGTAAAATTTGATATATTACTAACAAAGATAGACATTTAACTAACAAAACAGCTTTCAGTGGCCTAATCATCCATGCTTAAGCACACATTTAGCATCCAAAAGATATTAAATACAACATTCTTATTTAAGAGTAAATTCCAAATTATTCAGCCACACAGGCATTCAAGCCCCTTCTCTGGATAACTCAGTATTTCTTCGCCTACTTAAAACACATTAACTGGGGAAGGGATTCTTTAGTTTGCTAAAAGCCAGATCATGTATACATAAATGTATACGTATATATGCAAAAATGTATATATGCACTTTGAAACTTGCAAATAGAAACAAAATGTCATGCAATATAAATCTAGATTAGTGATTATTTTGCATTTTAAATATGATTCCTCTGGTAATGTTTACTCTTACTTTATGTAACAAAAATAAGCATGTATATATGCTTAAATCAATATGTTTAGATCATAAGTAGTATTATCAAACATCCATCCATAAGGTCATTATTTTCAAGTTTAGACACTACCAGTATTGGGAACCATGTATTTTCCCTAAAAGAAATTATTTTGAGTTAATACTTACTAATGAAATAGCAAATTATTATTATTATTATTATTATTATTATTATTATTGAGACAGAATCTTGCTCTGTCACCCAGGCTGGAGTACAGTGGCACGATTATTGTTCACTGCAGCCTCAGTCTCTTGGGCTCTCCACCTCAGTCTCCTGAAGTAGCTGGGACTACAGGTGCCACGCCACCATGCCTGGCTATGTTCAAAATTTTTGTAGAGACAGGGTCTCCCTGTGTTGCCCAGCCTGATCTTGAACTCCTAGACCTAAGCGATCCTCCCTCCTCAGCCTCCCAAAGTGCTGGAATTACAGACATGAACCAGTGTGCCCAGTGAAATAGCAATTATTTGCTAACTGATATGGTTTGGCTGTGTCCCCACCCAAACCTCATCTTGAATTGTAGTTCCCATAATCCCCACGTGTAGTGGGAGGGACCAGATGAAGATTAGGGGGGCTGTTTCCCACATGCTGTTCTTACAATAGTTGGTTCTCATGAGATCTGATGGTCTTATAAGGGGCTTTCCCCTTAGCTGGGCTCTCATTCTCTCTCCTGCCGCCCTGCAAAGAGGTACCTTCCACCATGATTGTAAGTTTCCTGAGGCCTCCCCGGCCAGTAAATACCAGTAACTCATTTGTATTAATGTTTTGTATTATACAAAACTCATTTATATTGAGACTACTTTCTAACTACATTAAAATAATGCTTTATTTTGATTAATCTTCAAAACAATAGAAAATGGTTAATGCCATTTAGAATCCTAAACCTCAATTAAACAAATGACATACAATTCACTGTGTAGACTGATATGTTCATACTTTGGGGAATAAATGACAAAGGCTGACTGTAGCCATAGTCTTTCCCTCTTACATATTTGTGAACTCTTTAAGTCTTCAGGAATTCAGTAGATTTGTCCATTAAAATGGAAGAAAGATGTTTGTCATTTCTACTAGTTTGGTACATTCAACTTTACCTAGTAAAGGTGGCTGATAAACTCATTCATACAATTTACCTTTCCATCTCTAAAGGTGGAAAGGATTTGTGTAGTCAGAGAAATATTTTCAGTGTTTGGGGATGGCGGCGGGGGGGGTGTATTTTCAAGCTGTTGGGGGAATGTGGTGTTCCAACAGTAGGACACCTGAAATCAGGCTTCACAATCTTCAGGCTTCCTCTAAGGCAACATCAATCCAATTGACTACTAAAACAACTAAGCTTAGAATGGTTTTGAACCCTCAGCTTCTACAGAGAGGAAACTGGAAAGTTGATCTGTATTTCTGAAGTTGCCAAAACCTTTTCATGCACAGTAATGGCATCAAAGGGACAAGTCATCACAGGTCTCTTTTGAGACCAGGAAAACCTGGTCTGTTTTAACATGTTAAAACACCTGTTTTAACAGAGGAGTGTCTAAAATAAGAGTACATATTTCAATTAGGCCCACAGAGATCAGGTGAGAAGTATGGCAACTAGGATGGTAGGAAATGCACATTTTGGCGGAAAAGAGAGTACCAGGTTTTCTCTAAAGGCATTCAAATGCAAAAAGTAAAAGATATATCACTGTGCAAGTCAAACAACATAAAGCCCATAGGCTGACAGCTTCCTCTCTCTGGTCCATAGGGTCACAATCTTGAGCCCCTTCCCATTAGCTCTTGCAATAACCAGATACTCCCCTCAGAGCACACAGTACAGTGTGTGCAACATAATCATCTGACAGATGGTCATTTTATGTTTTCTAAGAACAGGTGTTATCATGAGTATTGACATTTTCGTATGACGTTCTACTTCTCTGGTACTCCGAAATTTCCCCCATAAATAACTTTTTCATTTGGTAACAAAATGTGGCTTTGGGCTGCATCCTTTTCAGTCATAGAGATACTCTTCTATTCTTTCTATGGCAACCTCTTGTTTGATTACAGCAACCTCTTATTTGATTACAATTGTTAAATATTTATTTTTGTGCCTAAAGAAGTTAGAAAAAACAGGTTAAAAAAAACCCAGTGTTTTCATTAAGCTCAATCTATAAGAACCCTTATTTCTTATTCTTTAAGGGCTCAAAAGTAACTTTCCTTTTTAGCAAAGGATAGAATAACATTACAAATTCACAGTGACAGTGATTGTGAAAACTACCACCAGAACACTTTATAAATGTAGCCAAATCAGAATGATCTCTCTGTCTTTTATGTCCAAATTCTTTTGTGGTATCCATGTTTGACTGAAATGAAATAAGTCACTGGGACTTATACATTCAAAAATAAAACTTAAAAATGTTTAATCCCTGAGAATACTGGGAACAAATTAATGTGAAACCACCAATTCTTAGGCTTATTACATTCACAAACATTAGTCTAGTACAAATTATTTCTTAAGAAGATAGTTTTTTTTTTAATGTTAAGTAGCAGAGTTTATCTAATTGTACTTCTAGGAAAATAATAAAGATCATTCTTTTGAAAAATTACCAAATATGCATAAAATTTTTAATTTTAGCAGGAACCAAAAAGAGCAAAAAAGGTAAGAAAAGAACAACAATAATAAATCTTTATTGAGATTTTTTAACAAAATAATTTTTGAAAACAAAAGCTCCCACATGTAAACAAGAACGTAAATAAGTTAGATGGCATTATTATGTACATTCAAGAATCAAAACATGTTCTGGTAAACATTCCATAATCCGGTAAAATGTTTTCACCCATCACTGTTAAGAGAAACTGTGTATTTAATACTATCAATAACAAAACCTAATCTTTGAACATTATAAAATGGTTTACGGAATATAAACTATACAGTTTAGTTTTTCATTCCTCCTAGCAATCCGTGTCACATGTATACTAGTCCTAAGATGTATTTTGTCAGTATTAGCCCAAAATGTCCACCATCCCAAATTAACCAGGTTACACATATCTCCTCCAGTTTTTATGGTAGGATGTGTTAGAACCCATATATTACAACATCATTTTTCAAAACTAACCTAATCCTAAATTCTATTCTAACTAGTCTGGCAATCCTTCATTTTATCTCCCTGTCTACACATTCATTAGATACCAAGGCAATTTCACCTTAAAAAATACTGCTAATACACATTTAGATAGTAATTTCTGGTAAAACTGTAGTTTATTTATCAAAAAATGTGAATTTTTATTTTAGAAATGTAGGTCAAGCATTGTCATAGTTGTAGTACTTAATTGAGAATAATGGCTTCAATTTGGAAGATTCAATATACACATTAAACAAAATTAAACAGTTTAAATTATAATTCATATAATTATAATTCTCATTTTTAGATGGCCAAAATATATTGTTTTCTTACTATAAAGTGTTATTTATTCATCGTCTATTTTTACTAATTATATTCAATTCACAGTAGTGACATCAAAGGGACAAGTCATCATAGGTCTGAGACCAGGAAAACCTGGTCTGTTTTAACAGAGGCGTGTCTAAAATAAGAGTACATATTTCAATTAGGCCCACAGAGATAGAAAAGAGCCAGGATAATCTTTGTATTGAGGCCTTGATTTCAGTTTTAAATGTAATTCTTTTCTGCCAGCTGAAATAATTTAAAGATGTGCACAATAGGTCTGTGCTATTTAAGGCAGGTGTCAAGCACATTTTGAAATTTACCAACTAGAATGTTCTCCTAATGGAAAAAGAAAAAAGAAAAGTTATGACAGTTTTTGTTTAAGACAGATGTTTAAATAGCACTCTTCTTTTTGACCATTTAAAAATAATTTGGCAGCTGTAACCACCTATGGTCATAACACATAATCACTTACAAAAGACAAGCAACAGATACAGAATTAACGATATACTTTTAATATTTTTACAACCCTCTTTAAGTTGGTGCCTAATGGCATTTAACAAGATTTTTATATTCAGTGAAAAAGATTTAGAACATAAACTGACATGAAGTAAGGAATATAATTTCTCTGTGCCATGCAAAAGAGAAGTCAACTTTTTACACATCATCACTCCTAAACAGTTCTAATTAAAATCCAAACTGTTCCCATTTTTGCATCATTGTCATTCTTTGGCAAAAGATTCTAAATAGCCATGGGTTAGGAAACAACTGTTCACTCATGGTCTTCATTTTTTTTTTTTTTGCAAAATACATGTGTTTTGTAAAAGAAATCTGCACTGTGCTTGGTTTATACTACATAATTATAAGTAAGCAAAATAGTATGACTTCTTTTGACTAATCTACTCCTAAAGCCTTGAGTTGCCGTTCAATCTCTTCATCTGAGATTGTAGCCTTTGAAGTAGAGGCAGATGGTAAGCTTCGAGCAGCTGATGGAGCTTTGGCCATCTATATTAAACAATGAAAAAGACAAACGTGCATTAGGAAACATTTGGACTAGGACATACAGGATGTGCTGTAAAGAGGTCTGTTTAATTTACTTTTGAAACAGAAATAAAAACCATGCACCTCCTAGTAAAAACAAAACAATTAAGTGACAAACGTGGTAGGCAGAAACTATTTCCAACTAAGAAAAGATGATGTTCATACCTTTCCAGAAATTTCAATTCCAATTTCATCAAGAACTTGATTCACAATATCCTGGCTTTCTTCTTCGTCATCAGAACCGTCAAAGATGTCATCAAGTGTATCATTGACTAGGGGATATGGGAGAAGGAGCAAAGCAGTTACTTTCAAACAAACTTCAGGTTAGACTTACATATTTACAGTCTAGCCCAACTATTTTGTATATTACAGAAGGCAAACTCAGTGAACAAACTAAAAAAATCCTTCAAAATGTCAGTGAAGTAAATTGATAAATACATATTTGAGCCATTAAATCTGGAATAATGTTCATTTCAACACAAATTATCTTATAGCAAACAAGTCTACTCTTTTTTAAAAAATTAATTCTAATAGACAAAAAAATGTGATAGTCACAGCTACATGTTTAAGATTTTTAAATATTATTTCACAAATTGTATCCATTAAGCTAGTAGAGGAAGAATATGCAAGAATAAATATCCTGTTAATATCTGGAAAACGATTTACTCTTTTTATATCTATAATCATATTTTTATACCTCTTAAATTTACATTCAAGATACAGGTAGAATATTCTAGAGAAATCTAAGGTTCAATATTTTATTAAATTTGCCCAAAGAATGATGTCCGATTTAACAGGATTATTACTGCTACAACCTTTTCTACCTCTCTTCCCTCCCCAAAATATTTATTGAAAGCACTCTGTATAGAATGCATCATGTTGAGTTGTGGGGAAGCAATTTTTGATGGATTGAGATTATGTCTTTTTTATCTTTGAATCTTGGGCATCTAGTGCCTGAAATGCAATATAAATACAATGGGTATATAGACGGAGAAAAACAAAGACCTCGGGTAGTTGACACTTGAGTATAAAAGAAAAAAATTAAGAAACAGATTGTGGTAAGAGAAAAGATAAATGATTATAAAGTTTCAGAGAAGGAGATCACATCCAACTGGGAGGAAGTTACATGTGAAGTAATCTGGCAAGGATACGTAGGGTTTAACCACACAGAGATACATAAATGGAATGGCCTGGGCAAAGTCACTGTGAGGCAACAGGGACACAAGCAAGAAGGAATAAGTTCTTCTGTTTGGTTGTTATTTAAGGTACATAAATGGCAAATGTCTGGGAGAAAAAAAAAAAATTAAAGCAGCTAGCCTAAAATTGTTCCTCTCCTGGTATCTGGGGAATGTCCCCAGAAAAAGAAAGACAGGTAACCTAGTGTGATTTCCTTGTAATCATGTTGGTAACTGGGGCTCCTGGCAAATAGGCTTAATATTTACTAGCAAGAGAGTCCTTGTCTATGCAATGCTCCTACCAGGGTGTCCTGGTTTAGGACTGCTATAGTAACAAACCTATAATCTATGAGCCATGACTCCCTGGAAATGTCACATAAGGTAGTCAGTCATCTAGGGTATAAACTGAAGATGTTTCATAAGCTAAATACTTCCTTCTTGTCTTTTATTTAAAATTTGGGGATTTTATTTTGTAGTAAGCAGAAAACCCCTAAAGGAATTTAGTCAATATGCTCAAAGGTAAGCCTCTGGAAAAAAATAATTTCGCGGTATGTTACTCAGATGTAACTTAGCAAAGTAATACAGGAGATGCAAAGTCCAGGTCATGCAGAGTTTATAAGTATAAGTAAAGTAGTAGTTGCAGAAAAAAAAAAATGAATGAAGTAGATAGAAGAAAAAGATTAGAAAGGTGTAATCAGACTAACAAAGAAGAATGCTTTCAGAAAAAGTGTAATAATGCTCATCAGAGGTATAGTATAAGATTTCCCAACGATCTTGTGTCTTAACTGTGAACAAGCTTTGGAGCAACATGGCAGAATATAAATTCCAAGTTGAAAAAGATATGCTGATTTACACCTTGAATTTATTTTTGGATGAAAATATTGTTAGTGTATTTTACTACGTTATTAAAAAAATGAGTAACCATCAATAACTACTATTATACTACAGACTAACTTGCTATGCATTAAATTATATTACAGACTAACTTGTAATGTATTAAAATACAAATGAGAACAACTGCAGTAGGTATTATAGATATCTGATTAAGTAAGGGTTATTGATTCTTTTCATTATAGCTTAATGGAAAAGTTAATTTCTCTGCTGAGAACTGCCATCACTGGCATTGGAAACCACATGTTAAGTACTAAGATCATTATATAAATAACAATTCTCTCAGTCATTAAAAAATCATTGATGATGCTTCAACAACCTGAAAAAACTCATAGTTTTCAAACTAAAGGCCTGAAGTAAAAACTACAGAACTTTTGGAGCTGCCAAAGATAAACATACAGTATTATTACAACCAAGAATAAAAATAGGTATACTGAAATAGAATACTAGAACAATGAGTTTATTAACCCTGGTAACTTAATTAGATACTATTTTATACACTAAATGTTATTAAATGCTGTTAACTAAAATGATAGCAGATAAGCAAAGCTAAACTGGTATATCCCTACATAGTTGTAAAACATTTAATTTTCTATTTTTCATTTTTTATAGTTGTAAAACATTTAGAAAACATACTTTCAAAACAATGATGTCAGTTTTTGACATAATATAAGCAATAATCTAATGTTGACGAGGGTGCTATGAAGGGTCGGTCATTCATTATTGGTGAAATAAAAATTGGTGTAGTCTTCCGGAAAGAATTGGTAGTACAAACCAACAGCCTTATAAAAGTTAATATTCTGAGGAGATTTAAGAAATTCAGTCAAAGATAATACTTACACATATTTTTCAAAGGATTATCAAACACGTTAAAAATTTTACAACAATCTTATTGACCAACATAAGAATGGTTTGATAAACTAGGGTATACTGATGTTAAATGATATTAAAGCTATTTTTTAAAAAGACTTCAGAGAAGATTTAATGTCAAGGTCATGAGTATCTGCTTATGTTATACTATTATGTTTTTAAAAAGCAAGATATTCATAATTGTACATGTAAGGTGATCTCACTTTTGTAGATCAAGATTATGAGAAAAAAACAGAAAATAAACATACAACATTAACGGTAACTACATCTGAGTGCTGTGGTAATTTTTATATGCTCTGTCTCTGTATTCTCTGTGTTTCCACCATAACATGTAATTAGTTTATATTCAAAAAGACAAAAACTAAATATTAGAAGACTCTTGTGAGAGGGAAAAAAAGTGAGAATAAAAACAAACAAAAAAAGAGCTCCATTACCTCTACCTCTAATACAGGCAAATCTTCTACAGTATCAAAGAGTTGACATAACTCTGAAACTGCTTGACTTATATCATGAATTATGTACCTCACAAGTTGGTTTTGGTATACTAATCAGTAAAGTAAAACTGCTGAAGCCAATGTGTAACAGTGATGTGGCATAACATAGTTTATACCTTCCCTCAGTTAAATACAAATAGAATTTTGAGCCTATCATCTTTGGTTTCATCATTTCTGCCTTCGTGAATGAGAATATGAGACATAGTAAATAAATGGCTAATTCAAAGATGAGAAAACTATAAATTTCATTATAATTTATTAAACTTACTCATTTCTTCAGTCATTTCCATTTTCATGTTTTCCTTCTGGAAATTCTGCATTGTTTGTAATGTCTTTTGTGGATCCATCTTCTTGTTAACTGCCTGCATTGTCTTTAAATGTATTTACAAGATTCATGTTACTTCCATAATTATGAAAATTTTACTATGAAATAAGTCAAAAGGGAACACATCAAATATAGATAGGCTTTAAAAAGATATCCATCCTGCCGTAATCAAACATAGACTGTTAAATATTCTAGAAAAAAATGAAATAGTCATTTGGAAACCATCTGCTTAACATCTATATAATAAAGACCAGTGTGAAAAACCTCATCTGAACAGCAGGCAAGGAATTATGTAATAAAAAACATTATCAGCATAAAATCCTTTGCTATTCAAATAGGAAAATAAAATTTACCTGTTTTTGTGGCAAGTAGGTAATGTCAATAAATTTTTAAATTTAATTTTTATAAAAACTTTCATTAAAATTTTAATGTCTAAATTAAAAAAGATTAGAAGATATACTAGCATATATACTTAATCTATTAACACATTTTAAACCATGGTTTAAAAAAATATAAAAATGTGAGCTTTGAAAAACTATGTGAAAACAATTCTCTTACATTATATATTCACAACTCATTTCATTAAGAGATTCATGTTCTCTAGTACCACCAAAATTTATTTACAATCATGTTTCATGTGCTTACATTTTGGTTAATTACCCACAGCATATACGACAGTGGCCCCATAAGATTATAATACTGCATTTTTACTATACCTTTCTTATGTTTAGCTATGTTTAGATACACAGGTACTTAAACCATTATGTTACAACTGCCTACAAAATCCAGTACAGTGTAGCCTAGGACCAACAGGCTATACCATATAGCCTAGATGCGTAGTAGGCTGTATCACCTAGGTTTATGTAAGTATACTCTGTAATGTTTACACAATGATGAAATTGCCTAAGATGAATTTTTCAGAATGTATCCCTATTGTTAAGCCAGACATGACTGCATTTTTATATATATGATGCATAATACATAGATGATAAACATATATGTATGCATTATATAGCTAATTCAGTATATTAAAAGAATCCATACAATAGAAACATGTTGATTTCAAAGATATGAAGCAAACAGTCCTTTCTCAATGGCATGCAATGCAGTAGCCAAAGTATTCTTTCCAAGTATGACACTGCATTCCCCCCATCCCTCCCCACCCCCAACACACCTAACTCTCTAGTGGCTTTCCAGTGCTGTTAAATTTAGCTAAAAGCTAAATTCCATAATATGCCTATGAGAACTAACATGGATTAAACTTTGCACTATTGCCCTCTAGACACACATCTTTTATTCCTTAAATGTGCTATGTTTTCTCCTGCCACTTGAGGCTAGGAGTTTGAGACTAGCCTAGCCAACACGGTGAAAACCCATCTCTACTAAATATACAAAAATTAGCCAGGCATGGTAGCTCATGCCTGCAATATCAGCTACTCAGGGGGCTGTGGCAGGAGAATCACTTGAACCTGGAGGCAGGGGTTGCAGTGAGCCAAGATCACGCCATTGCACTCCAGCCTGGGCAACAGAGCGAGACTGTCTCAAAAATCAGACACTCAAAAAGAATAAGGTAACTGAGAAACAAAATGTATACCGAAACGTTCTCTCTCTCTCTTTTTTTTTGAGACAGTCTCTCTCTCTGTCACCCAGGCTGGAGTGCAGTGGCGTGATCTCAGCTCACTGCAACCTCTGCCTCTCAGGTTTCTGCAATTCTCTTGCCTCAGCCTCCCAAGTAGCTGGGATTACAGTTGCCCACCACCACGCCCAGCTAATTTTTGTATTTTTAGTAGAGGTGGGGTTTTGCCATGTTGGCCAGACTGGTCTTGAACTCCTGGCCTCAACTGATCTGCCCACCTTGACCTCCCAAAGTGCTGAGATTACAGGCATGAGCCACCATGCCCGGCTTGAGGCTTGAAACTTTCTCTTTTTAAAGATTATAATGTGTCACTGTACTTTTTGTACTTCACAAAATGGATGCATTCTACTCTTTATTTGCACAAATGTATTGGTTACATATAAAATTTTGTTACATGTATATAATGCGTAGTGATCAAGTCAGAGTGTTTAGGGTGTCCACCACCCAAGTACAATATATTTTTGTTAAGTATAATCAACCTACTCTGCGATCAAAGATTGAATTTATTCCTTCTAACTGTATGTTTGCACAGCACTCGACTTTCATGTGCTCTGCTGTCTAAAATGCAATTACAGTTAATACTCCTTATTTGTAGATTCCATATCTGAGAATTTACCTACTCATTAAAATTTATTTGTAACCTCAAATGAATACCTGCAGTGTTTTAATGCTCATCTGTGACATTTACAAAGCAGCAAAACATGTGAGTCACCCAACATGCACATTTCCAGCTGAGGTCAAACAAGGGGATGTTCTGCCTTCTTACTGCAAATTAAGTGTCCTTTCCATAGTTTACTTAGTGTCACATTTTTCTCACTTTTGTGCTTTTTGTTTGTGATTTCACTGATAAAAAATGATCCCCAAGCATTGTATTAACATGCTGCCCAGTGTTCCTAAGTGAAAGAAGGACATGATGTGCTTTATGGAGAAAATACACGTTAGATAAGCTTTGTTCCAGAATGAGGTATAGTCCCATTAGTCATAAGCTCAATATGAGCAAATCAGCTATATATTAAATATGGCATCTTTAAACAGAAACACAAGGTTAGTTAGGTACAGATTAGGTAATGAAAAAACGTTGTGGGCAAAGGCTCACAGAAATATAACTCAGTATTTCCCCTGGGAGCAATGGTTCAATATGCACTATTTCAGTGTTCCCGACTTCATGGGACATAACTACTATGAATAACATAAATTGCCTGTGTATACCATTTCCCTAACATAAAGCTTGTACTTTCCTCTGAGGCTATTTTTTTTCTTTTGCACTTCATATTCACAATCCCTCTTCTGTACAGCTAACATCTAATGATATTCTTAAAACCTTTGTCTTATGCAATGTCTTTTAGATCACCCTACTCAAAGGTCTGTGCAGTTCATAAAGCTTAGCATGACTGATATATAGTGGGTAGGTTCCAAGAGACATATCTTAAGCCTCCAATTGAACTATAAAATTTGTGAAAGCACAGTTTCTGTCTTAACCTCTTTTGATGACTAACAGTATCAAGGAGTGCTTTATTTATTAAATGACTGAAAGACTCAGAGTCCTTTAAACTACAGTAAAAACACTGATTACAGATATAGAAAAATGTGTTTGTGTGTGTATACAGTAAGTTAAACATAAGTTCTAGACAAACATTCTGATAAATCTTTCTTATTATTCATGTGACCTTCTCACACATTCATAAAAATGAATCAAGAGGAAATTATCACTCAAAAGTAGTCAGAACATATAATGAGACAAGAAGGTCAAAAATCTTCTGACAATTTGAGGGGAAAAAAGCAAATACTTTTAAAAGTCAATTTCATAAAATTAGAAGCTACATGTGATCTTTAGAAAAAGGGATTGTTGGCTGGGCGCGGTGGCTCATGTCTGTAATCCCAGCAATTTGGGAGGCTGAGGCAGGCGAATCATCTGAGATCAGGAGTTTAAGACCAGCCTGGCCAGCATGTGAAACCTCGTCTCTACTAAAAATACAAAAATTAGCCAGGTGTGGAGGTGCATGCCTGTAATCCCAGCTACTCAGGAGGCTGAGGCAGGAGAATCACTTGAATCCAGGAGGCGGAGGATGCAGGGAGCCAAAATCTTGCCACTGCACTCCAGCCTGTGTGACAGAGCAAGACTCCATCTCAAAAAAAAAAGAAAAGAAGAAAGAAAACGGATTGTCCTCAAACAAGAAATTTTGTATTAAAACATATCAATAAAGAATCTAGAAGTAATTACCTGGATTATCTAGTATTATAACTCATTTTACTAAAAATTACACACATTTTGTATCACATATACACCAGGAGGTGCTTTTAAATCTGCTTTCAATATTGATATTTAAATATCGTTGATAAAATTAAAAATCTATGAATATAAAAGCTCTCACTTACTTTTGCTGTAGTAGACATTGCTCCAGCCATCTTCATTTGGGAATTCATCACTTTTGTTTGTGTAGACATAGAAGTAACTTTTGAACTTACAGCAAAAGTTCTCGTCTTCTGTTTCCGTAGATGCACAAGTTGTTTGGCTAAAACTTTGCAAGCTTCCTTATTACCAATCTTGGCCATTTTCTTAATTTCTAATTCCTAAGAGAAGAAACAAACAAAAGAAAATAAAATTATTAAAGGGTAGTCGTCAATAATTTATTTCAGAAGAACAGATCTAATACACATAACAGACCCTTTGTCCCCGATCATGAAGAGGGGAAGAAGCTATTATAAAGTCATAGAGCAAAAGAGAAATCTAAGAAGGCAATTTAGTCTACATGTTTACATGGAAAGGACAGAACTAGTATCTCCATCCATGAATACAAAGCAAGTCTACAAAACAGTGCACATGTAGAGCCCAGAAGAAAATTAAAAAAAAAAAAAAGACTATCCAAAAGAAGGTAAGAGAAAAGGAAAAAACATACAAGCAAAGAGTTGGTGGGACAGAGCAATAAAGGGCAAAGTGATAGATCTAAAACTAGTAATATAGATAATTACATTAAATAAAATAGTCCATTTTATACCTCAACTGTAAGACAGACTGTCGGATTAGATAAGAAAGCAAACCCAACTATATGCTATCTCAAGACACCAACTTATACAAAAACAAACTCAAGTAAAAGGACAGAAAAATATATGCTATATACGTACTTATCAAAACCTGCCAATCTAGAGTGGCTATATTAATAGAGATGAAATAAACTTGAGACCAAGGAATACTACCAGAAATAAAAAGGGGTATTTCATAATGATATAAGGGAATCAATACATAAAGATACCAGGACAATCTTCAATGTGTATGTACCTAATAAAAGTGCTTCAAAATATATAAAACACAATGGACAGAACTGAAAGGAGAAATAGACAAATGCATAATTAGCATGAGAAATATCAACAACTCCACTCTTAAGCAAAGTCTAATTGTTACAAGTAGACAGAAAATCTGCAGTGATATAGAAGGCTTAAAAAACACTATCACCAATTTGACCTAACTGACATTTGTAGGAAACTCCAACATTGAAAGCAGAATATACATTATTTACAAGTGTCACTAAACAATCACCAAAGTATTCCATATTCTACATCAGAAAACAGGGCTCAATAAATTTTAAAGGACTGGAATCACACAAAGTATGCTCTCTAACTACAATGAAACTCAAAATTCATAAGAAAAATATGAAAAGAAAATCAGAAATAAGCAGAAATTTAAAAATAATAGTTCTAAATAAGTCATGGGTTAAAGAAAAAACCACAGAGAAAATAATATTTTGAACTTAAGTGAAAATGCAACATAAAAATTTGTGAGTTGCAGTTAAAACTGCTCTTAGAAGAGTTTACAGCATTGAAGTTTGTATTTGAAAAAAAATGAATACTTCATAAGCTTCAACATAACATAGAAAAAAGAAGTACAAATGAAACACAAAGTAGGGAAATAAGATAAACAAAAAATATATATATATAAACTAGGAAAGAAAAATCTGTGGCTCACGCCTGTAATCCCAACACTTTGGGAGGCTGAGGCGGGCAGATAATGAGGTCAAGAAATCAAGACCATCCTGGCCAACATGGTGAAACCCCTCTCTACTAAAAATACAAAAATTAGCTGGGCGTGGTGGCACACACCTGTAGTCCCAGCTACTTGGGAGGCTGAGGCAGAAGAATCGCTTGAACCCAGGAGGCAGAGGTTGCAGTGAGCTGAGATCACGCCACCGCACTCCAGCCTGGTGACAGAGCAAGACTCCATCTCAAAAAAAAAAACAACAAAAAACAAAAAACAAAAAAAAAAAAACAAAAAACAAAAACAGAAACAAAGAAAAATCCATATAGAAAAATCAATGAAACAAAAAATCAAAAGTTATTTTCTTTTTTTAAATAAGAGATCAATCAAATTGATAAACCACTAGCCAGGCTGATGATGAAAACAACTGAGAAAGAGACAGAGAGAGAGAGAACACAGTTACAAATACCGAGAATGCAAAGAAGGGCATCACTTCTTATCCTAAAGATGTTAAAGGATAGTAAGGGCATATTATAAACAATATATCAGTATATTTTAAAATTTAGTAGAAATGGACAAGTTACTTGACAGACTAAAGCCACCAAAGCTCATTCAATAAGACAGATAACCTAATCTATTATATCTATTTTAAAACAGAATTTGTAGTTTAATAACCTACCCACAAAGAAAATCTTCACTCACAGATGACTTTACTGATGAATCCTATCACACATTTAAGGAAGAACTACACAAACCCTTCCAGTAAAGAAAAGAGTATGGGACCCTTGCCAACTCAAGCTATGGGGCCAGCATTACTAGGCCAGCATTATTACCCTGATATCAAAATCAAATAAAAACACTGCACTGCCGCCTGGGCAATAAAAGTGAAACTCCATCTCAAAACAAACAAACAAACAAACAAAAAAAACCCACCACACAAAAAGAAAACTACAAATCAGTATGTTTTATGAACACAGGTGCAGATATTCTTAAAATTTCAGCAAACTGAAAATACATTAAAAAAAATACATCATTACCAAGTGGGGTGTGTCCCTGGAACAAAAGGTTGATTCAATTTTTGATAATCAAAGTAATTCACTGTATTGACAGACTAAAAAAGAAAACCACACAACCATTTCAACAAGTACAAAACACTGCTGAGGAAAGTTGAAGATCTAAATAAATGGAGATCTAAATAATGGAGAGATACATAATAACTTCATAGGTCAGAAGACATAATGTTAATATGTCTTCTGTTAATGTTAACTAACATTATGTTAATATGTCTTATGACACAATGTTAATATGTAACTATTCAATGTAATCCCAATCAAAATCTGATCTTTTTTGTAGAAATTGATTTGTATTCTAAAGTTCCTATAGAAATGCAAAGCACCTAAAATAGCCAAAACAATTATGAAAAAAGAAGTACAAAGTGGAAGGATTAATGCTGTCTAACTTTTAGACTTATTTAAACCTTTATTAACAAAAATAATGCGGTATTAGCTTAAAAGCAGTCATGTAAATCAATGGAACAGAGCCCAGAAAGATGCCTACGTTTGGACAACTGATTTTCCACAAAGACGACAAGGGAAAGTGTCAGCAATAATTATGTTGAAACAACTGACTTTCCATATGCAAAAAGTGAACCTCTACCCTTACCTGACACCATACTGAAACTTAATTCAATATGGTTCACAGTTTTAAATGTAAGAACTAAAACTGTAATATTTCTAGAAGAAAACATAGGAGAAAATATTACTGACTATGAGTTAGGCACTCGTGGCTAGTACACTAAAAGTTAAGTAGTACACTAAAAGTACTAATCACAGAAAAAAGGATGAGAAATATTAACAACTCCACTCTTATGTATACACTCTAATTGTGACAAGTAGACAGAAGATCTGCAATGATACAGAAGACTTAGAAAACACTATCACCAATTTGACCTAATTGACGTTTGTAAGAAACTCCAACATTGAAAAAAAGAATAAAAGAATAAAAAATTGTACTTGATCAAAATAACCCAAAAAACCCTTTCATTCCTCAAAACACACTTAGGAAAATGAAGGACAAGGTTAAGAACTTGGAAATAATATTTGTACAACATATACTTAATAAAGCATTTGTTTCCACAATATATAAAAATCTATTGTAACTAAGTAAGAAAACAATTTGATGAAAAAATGGGTAAAATATTTGAATAGACACTCTGGCAAAAAAGATAAGTAAATGGTAAACAGGTATATAAAAAGATGTTCAACATCATTAGTGATTATGAAAATGAAATTTAAAATGACAACGTACTATACACCCACTAAAATGGCTAAAATTAAAGACTGTCAACTCCAAGTATGTGAAACAACTGTAACTTTCATACATTGCTAATGGGAAGAGAAAACATCACAGGCACTCTGCAAATTTTTCAGCACTTTAATTTTAATTTTTTAGCAGTTAAACATACATTTACCCTATGACCCAGCAATCTCACTCTCAGGAATATACCCAAGAAAAATGAAAACCATGTTCACAAAAACTTTGATTGAATGTTTAAAGTAACTTTATTCAAATAACCAATACCTGGAAACAACTCAAATGTCCACTGGCTGGTAAACAGATAAACAAATTGTGAAATATTCAAACAATTGAATAATACTCATCAATAAAAAGTAATTAACACTAATGCATGAAACAGCACTAATTAACCTAAAAATAATTATGCTGAATGAAAGATGCCATAAAAAAGGAGTTGATATTATATGATTCCATTTATATAAAATTCTAGAAATGAAAAGTAATCTACAGAGACAGATCAGTATTTGCTTCACCAGGAAAAAGGGAGACAGGCAGGGATGCGTAGGAGGGATTTCCAGGGGCATAAGGAAACTTTTAGGGAAGATGGGTATGTTCATTACCTTAACTGTAATAATGGTTTCACGAGTTTATACATATGTCAAAAACCTATCAAATTGTACACCTGAAATATGTACAGTTTATTGCATGTGAATTATCCCTCAATAAAGATATTTTTTAAAGATTTGAGGCAACATACACATAAAAACATAGCATAAAGAATATTTAAAAATGAACCAGACCAGTCTATTATAAAAGTACATTCATTGTCAAAGACACAACGATCTTTAAAATATCAAGCAAGACTCCTATGAGTTAATGTAATTTTTAAAATAACCTTCCTTTGTTTTCCATGACTATTTCATCTTCCTGTTAACTAAGAAGGTGGTTCTGTCTTGAGCAATCTTTCTTCCTAGATACTTATGACTCTCACAAACTGAAGAATAATTTGATTCTATAATCAACAGAATACACAGAATCCCAATAAAAGTCAGCAGAATGACACAATAAACAAAGGTAAGCAGAAGATACAAAAATCATTAACTGCCATTTCTTAATTAAGTAAATCACTTACCACCTGCCATGTGCCTTCTTCCTAGTTAGCTAATTATTCCTACAGTAATTTCCAAATTTGTTTGAAAAGTTAAACTGAAATTTAACGTTCTACTTACCAGCTGTTTTTCTTGTTTCTCTAAAGCTGCTCGATCTCTGATTATAGCCCTCTGTGTACCTCGTAACTCTCGATTCTGTTCCTTTATTACATCTAGGAGAATCACAAAAGAAACCTAAATTTATGGGTTGTAAAATTTTCAATATCATTTAAAATACTGGATTCACAGATCATGATTTAAAAAAATCTTATATTGGCTGGGCGCAGTGGCTCATGCCTGTAATCGCAGCACTTTGGGTGGATCACCTGAGGTCAGGAGTTCGAGACCAGCCTGACCAACATGGAGAAACCCCATCTCTACTAAAAATAGAAAATTAGCCGGGTGTGGTGGCACATGCCTGTAATCCGAGCTACTCGGTAGGCTGAGGTAGAAGAATCGCTTGAATCTGGGAGGTGATGGTTGCGTTGAGCCGAGATCATGCCATTGCACTCCAGCACTCCAGCCTGGGCAACAACAGCGAAACTCTGTCTCCAAAAAAAAAAAACAAAAAAAAACCCTTAGATTTACTAGATGTCAAAATATTTTTTTTACTTTAATATGCTAAAAAATTAAATATTAAAACCTGAATTATAAATATTAATAAAATATAAAGAATTGATAGCAGGTGAATGCAAATATGCTACAGTCTGAGATTTAACCAAAAGTATTACATCACAATAAAATATTCCCCTACAGAACTGATTAGTATAGTGTTTAATATAGCACATATATATGTCACACACACACACACACCCTTTTCATGTTTCCTTACTCTAATACTATATGAAATTCAGGAAGGAAGACAGGTTATATGTTTATTAAATCTGTTTGGTTTTCTGCAGTAAATATTAACAGACTGAAACACCAGACTTTCCAATGAGGCAGATCTGGATTTGAATCTCACCTCAGCCACTTGATCATCATGATTATACCTTGGAAGAGTTAGTTAATACTCGAAACCTCAGCTTTCTTTTTCATAAAAAAGGATAGTAAGGAGTAAATAACATACAAATGCTCTGATAACTGCAAGTATCCTCTCAATTATAGTATCTTTCTAATTTATCTGAATTCATTTGGATTCTTTAGACCTACCTTTTGAAGAATTAAAGTATTTTTTAATTAAGAAAACTCAATGTTAGGAAGGCTAAGTGACTTGCCCAAAGCCACATAGATAGCAAGTAGTAACACCAGATTTGGTTGGATCCAACCATTCTGTCTCTTGAACCAGTGATCTTAACTACTTTACTAGGCTAACTTTTTAATAAAGAGATTTAAAAACAACAACAACAGGAGAAAGAACAGTCTCTTCATCAAATAGTACTGGGAAATCTGGACATCCACATGAAAAAGAATAAAGTTGGACCTTTACGTCACACTGTATACAAACATTAACTCAAAAAAGACCAATAACCTAAATGTAAGAGCTAAACCTTAGAACACATAGAAGTAAATCTTTATGACCTGGGATTTGGCATTACATTCTTAAATATGACATTAAAAGCATAAAGAACAAAAGAAAAAAAAGATAAATTGGACTTGGTGAAAATTAAAAATTTTATGCATTAAAGAACATTATTAGGTGAAAAGACAACCTATAGAATAAGAGAAAATATATGCAAACAATATATCTGATAAGAGTTTGGTATGCAGAATATATAAAAAATTCTTATAACTCAAGAAACGAGATACAAACAACCCAACTTTTAAATGAGCTAAAGGCTTGAACAGACGTTTTGCCAAAGAAGATACACAAATGGCCAATGAACACATAAAAAGTGTGCTCCACAACATTAGTCCTAAAGAAAATACTACTACTTCACATGTATTAGAAAGGATAATTTTTTATGAAAGGAAAATAACAAGTGTTAATGAAGATGTGAAAATTGGAACCCTTGCATATTGCTCGTCGGAATGTAAAATGGTTTGGTTACTATGCTTAACAGTTTGGTGATTCCTCAAAAAGTGAAACATCAAATTACTGTATGACCTAGTAATTCCACTCTTAGATCGAAAGAAGTGAAATAAGTATTCAAACAAATACTTCTACATGAATGTTCACAGCATTAGTAACATTAGCCAAAAGGTGGAAATAACCCAAACGATCACAAAGAGGTGCACAGATAAACAAACGGTGGTATATAAATACAATGGAGTATCATGTAGCTATCAAAAGAAATGAAGTACTGATACATACTACAACATGCGTGAACCTCAAAAACATTATGGTAAGCGAAGATGCCAGATAGAAAGGGTCACAATTTATAATTACATTTATATGAAATATCAGAGGTAATTCCATACAGACAGAACAAATTGGTATATGGCAGGGGTTGGGGAGAAGAGACAATGGTTAAGTCACTGCTTAATGGTTACAGGATTTTATTCTAAGGTGATGAAAATGTTTTAGAACTAGATACAGGTGGTGGTAACACACCATTGTGAACTGCTTAATGGGTACAGGATTTTATTTTGAGGTGATGAAAATGTTTTAGAACTAGATACAGGTAGTGGTAACACACCATTGTGAATGAATGTACTAAATGCCACTGAACTGTTCACTTTAAAATGGTTAATGTTATATGAATTTAACTTCAATTAAAACATCAAAGCCAAAAATCTTTATCTTTTTTAGGATAATTATAGTTATTCTATAGTTATAATAGTTACAGTTAATAGTTACTACAGTCATATTGATAAAACTAATCAACCACAATTACTTTCTGAATAAAAGCTAAAATAAGATGTCAAAGCTCCTATATCCTACCTACAAGACATCTATCGTATCTCCTTTGCCTATTCTGTTTCTCAATTTTATACTGGTGGGCATCTAATACTCAGGATCTACTAATGAGGTATTTATTCTACCTATTGTTGAAATACAGGAATATGAAACCATAGCACATCTCTAACAGAGATAAAGAAGGACGGGGCTTTCTCTCCTGCCACCTACTTTCTTCTTCTAAAATGAGTGAGACTTGATGGGAAACATACATTTCATTTAAAAGAGAGGGCATGGATGATCCACAGATAAATATATTTGGGAAATGTTGAAACTGAAAAAAAAATTAAACACATTTCTTTGCTTCAAGGCTTCTGGGAATGTTTAATACATGGGTATGCATTGTCAATCCTTAAATGAAGAACCTATCATAGATTATTGACCAAACGTATTAAGAACTGTTTTTAAGAAATATCTATTAATATTTCCTAGATACTAGTGTCCCCTAGAGCATGGATTGGAACATGCTGTATTAGTTTGCCAGGGCTGCCACAATGAAATATCGCAAAGTAGATGGCTTAAACAATGAAAACGTATTTTCTCATAGTTCAGATGGCTGAAAGGAGTCAAGGTGCCAGCAGGTTTAATTTTTCCTGAGGCCTCTCTCCTTGGCTTGCAGATGGCCACCTTCTTGCTGTGTTCTCAGATGGCCTTTTCCTTGTGGATCTTTCTCTTCTTCTAAGGATAGCAGTCATTGAATCAGGGCCCCATCTGACTTTATTTAACCTCGATTACATACTTAAGGGCCCTATCCCCAAATACAGTCACATGAGTGGTCAGAGCTTTGTCATATGAATTGTGGGAGGCAGGGGGGACAATTCAGCCCATAATACACATCTTTCCTCAGACATCTATAGGCTGACCCCAAATAACAAAAATGCTCTCATTTCCCTGTCTTTCAAAGGAATCATGAACCTCTTCATCCGCCAACACCCAAACACACTCGATCCTCTTTTGGACTTACTTCCCTATTTTGTCAAAGCCAATGGACTGATATAAAAAACATTTACCACTTACCCCACTGTTTCCATAGAAAATGTGCTCTAATTTTTAAACTTAAATAATAAATGAACTTCTGGAGTACAACCCCTTTGTGTACTAAGGACTAAGGACTCCCTAAACTCAACTAGTATAAGATGAATTGACAGTATCAGATAGTGATGTTTTGTTTTGTTTTGTTTTGAGATGGAGTTTTGCTCTTGTCACCCAGACTGGAGTACAACAGCATGATCTCGGTTCGCCTCCCAGGTTCAAGCGATTCTCCTGCCTCAGCTTCCCAAGTAGCTGAGATTACAGGCATGCGCCACCATGCCTGGCTAATTTTTGTATTTTTAGGTATTTTTAGTAGAGACGGGGTTTCACCATGTTGGCCAGGCTGATCTCGAACTTCTGACCTCAGGTGATCCAACCGCCTCGGCCTCCCAAAGTGCTGGGATTACAGGTGTGAGCCACCATGCTCGGTGGTGATGATGGTCTTATACAAGCTACAACAATACTGCTCAGAAAGACAAGCCACTATACTCAGAAGTTAAACTGTGGCCAGATAATTGACACAGGTGCACAGCAACTGCTGAAAGTTAAGATCTAAAATTCTATCTACATACATTTTTTTTTCATTACGAGGGTGATATTAAAAATATAAATGTGGTCTTCATCCTGGGTGCCTGGCACAGAGGGCCTAAAACCCTTGGAATTTCCTGAATGATAGGAATGTCTTTTGTTATTCACAACAAGCTTCTTTGTACCATATCTGAGTATATGGGGTAGGTGTGGGAGGGTAGCTGATAGCCTCAGGATGAGGTTAGTCACCAGAAAGACCAAACACTTGACTAAAGGGTGGGAACTTTTAACTCCACCCCCATATGTCAGGAGAGGTGGGTGCTTGAGATTAGGTTATAAAAAAACCTTACCTAAGAGATTCAGAGAACCTCTCAATTGGTGAACACACTGATATGCTAGGAAGATGGCACACACAGAGAGGGCATGGGAGCTCTGTCCTCCACCTTCGACCCTTGACCTATGGATCACTTCCATTTGGCTATTACTAATTGTATACTTTAAAATAAACCAGTAACAGTAAATAAAGCACTCTGATGAGTTCTGAGAGTTGTCCTAGTGAATTATCAAAGTTGAAGATGAAGTTGTAGGAAAACCCTGGTCAGTCAGAAGTACTCACCAGAAGCACAATCTGCGTCTTTCAAGTGGCATCTGAAGTAGGGCAGTCTTGTGGGACTGTCTTTCACCTATAGGGTCTGCCCTAACTCTAGATAATTACCGTCAGAAGTGAACTGAATTGCTGAACACCCAATAGGTGTCTGAGAATCAGAGTCAAGGCTAGATATAGCCATCTTTACTGAAAAACAAGTATTATTACATGAGAATTCAACAAAACATGTAATTTAATTAAAATAGTTTAATTTTTCTCAATATAATGTAACTATATGTATCATAACAGTCACTGTATATCATAAAAGGAAAAATAAAGAAAATTAACTACTGCATATTCCACAGCCTCATAGTTGTTAATAGGCCTATTAATATTTAAACAGTTCTAAGCTATAAACTCAGAGCGGCTAATGTTACATACTAAAACATAATCACAACACCTTAAAACATATTATGGTAAGTAGGAAAAGACAGTAAAACATATTTTCATACGAGACAATAGAAATATACTATAAAACTAACATATTACTCTTCTCTTTTTAAAACAATCTCTATATTAAATCCACATTTAATAATTTGGTCTTCTAGATAATACAGAAGGAATAATATGAGAACGGTCTGAGGCAATTTTAATGTTTTTACAGCCAAATTTATTATCCACTAGATTTATTTCTTAGTAGGTATGATTCCATCCCAAGATTACAATCTCTTTAAGAGAAGGGAATACATATATTTATTTATTTGCTTGTTTGTAGTCCCACCTTTCTTCATGCAAATAGCATACCAATATATCATACTTACTAGCGATCTATGGGAGTACAAACATATACATTGAAATGTGAAAGGATTCCTCTTACAGGCATATTTAACACGTCTTTAAAATGTAAAACAAAATCAGTTGTCAAAAAAGATAATTTAACAATAGTAAAATATGAAACATGATAGGTAGCTTTCTACAATGGAAATGTGAAACATTGAAATAATTGGCTGTTTTCCTTATAACTTTCTACTTCCCCGATTTTTCAATGTGAGGCAAGATCATGACAGAAACATGTACAGGGTACTGCTGCCACCTAAGAGAGATGGAGTGCTTGACTCCTGTCTATCCTCTGCTTCTTTCTTCAGGCAGATAAAGGTATACACTCAATTTTTCATTCTCTAGGACTTCATCTACCTTGTGGTTTGTTTCAAAGACATCATAATAGGTGGTAATAGAAAACTTCACACTGTAAAAATGCCAAAGGTACATGGATATGATATGGTATATTCTCTCTCTTACCATTCAGTGAGATAAAAAGGGTCTGGAAGCTTGATTCATCCACCACCCTCTTTTCACCCATGCCCAGCACAACACTTAAGAAAAGGCCACCCAGGCCGGCTCCACTCTGGGCATTAAAAGCCTATCTCAAGTCTTTCAGGTTCTTCTTACTGAAGGAAATACACAGGTCTACAGTAGAGTGATGAGATCATAGACTTAAGTCTTGGACTTAAGAGACACAAGGTGTTTCTGCCTTTTTTGGTTCTGAGTCAATATGGTTTATCTGCTTACAAAAAATAAAAAGTCAAAAAATAAAAAATAAAAACAAAACAAAAAAGGTCTCCCATGTGGTCCAGTCTAGCTCACCAGAATTCTCTACTTGGGGTTTGAGGCCAAGCCCCAACTTGAATCATGCCTGTCCTCCCTACCATTAGTTCAGATATAATTTGTACATTTGAGGATAAAAGCAAAAAGTAATTATCAAGTATAAATATGGACATTCATTAATTTGTGAGTAATACTATTTAAAGTGCCTTTCTTTTGGGGGAAGGTGGGGAGCTATCTCAAGTTTGCAAGGCAGTTCAGGATGAATGCCTCAAGAATGCTGGGACAGTATGCAAATCACCATCGGTCAGCAGGATTCAAGCTGATCTACTAGAGAAGTAGCCACTATACTGTATGCTGTGTTTTTCACTATAAGGTCATAACAGACTTTTTAATCTAATAAGCCAAATTTCCTACTATTAAATGTATTTCTTTTGAGAAAATACATTTTTATCTATTGATTTTATTGCCTATCAGTTACTCTAAACCTAATCATCATATCAATTGAGATAGAAACAAAATGTTCCCACATCCTACTTTATAATCTCCATTAACTGGTTTTAAGGTATCAAGATCTCCAGGGAAGAGGTAGCTTCTACTTTAGACTTTACCTGCAAGCTCTGTAACAGCTAGTGTCAGTGGGAATAGTGGGCACTGTGACACTGGTAACAGCACTGGACAAATCCTGATTGTGCTATGGATATAAGAAAAGCCCAGAGTGAGCGTCAATTCAGCTAACTAGGCATGATGGAGCTTGCCAATGAACAGTAAAGTGAAAAGAAGTCCTGGCTACGTAAGGATGTTTCATCTTGACTTGATGAAGAGAAAAAAAAACTGCAAAAATATGACAAACTCAAAAGCTAAGGCATTAAAAAGAAATATTAAAGGTCACTATCCAGAAAGTTCCGGTTCTAGGAACAAGATTTACTCAAATGCAGAAGGAAAATGACAGTGAGAGTGGGTACAAAGTAATTAGAATTTGATATGCAAACCAAATTTGCTTCTCAGGTTTTGGGAATGGTATATCTGACACTCAGGGACAAATATTATCAGCTTAACTAATCAGTTCTAATACACGGTAAAAAGAAAACAAAAGGCAACTATAGAAAACAAAAAGAACAAAGGGGGATCATGCCAACAGCTTTATTCTACCTAGACATCGTCAAGAGAGCCAACTAACTTAAGAACCAGGTTTAAACTGAAAAACAGCAGGACTTGGAAGAGGCAAAATACTGAAGAGAAATTGGGGAGTCAAGCCAAGCCCTACAGTAGCATATGCGGTAGCAAAAATAATTTTTTTCTCCTACTAGTAACTCTCAAAAGTCACTCAAGCCCTGAGGAATTCATGTGAACCAATTTATAAACATAAAAATGCCACTGGTTTTCAAGAGCTAAAAGATGGTTTTGAGATGGGCACATGTCAGTAGACTTTTGAGTCTTGTTTGGTCCTCAACGGCAAAGGCTTTAGTAACATCATCAATAAAACTGCAGTTCAGAAAACTGTCAAAGCACATTTTTCATCTTAGATAAATGAGAGAATGAGAGGCAATGTGTCCTGGAAGAAAAGCCTCACAGGCCAATGGACCTGAAGATAGGAAATGGTAGCCAGAAAGGAAATGTCTGTCTTTGTTGTCATGCTGGGGATGCAGAAATACAGAGGGAACACATTTTTCCTACAGAAATATCTATTCTAAAAGTAGGGAGAATGTTTTTCTAAGAAAATGCTCAGAAGAGTATACTGTGTTCCTCAATCCCATGTTCAATTATTTTTCTTTGGTATGTCAAGAATGTAGGGGTTAAGTAGAAAGTAAAATTTGAGTTTTTTAAATATCCAGAATAAGGAGCACTAAAGGAACACATAGCATCCTGGGAAAGATCTGAATTCTGCAGGTACCACCATGAGAATAGTGTATTTTATTCTGGAATACAGAAAAAATGTTTCTGAAGGGTATTCCGTTTTATTTCCTTTTAACATCAGAAATGTGGCATCACAACTAATACATTGAAAGGGGATTTATCCCAACTTAGTCAAAACCTCACAGTTTTTGAACTCTAGACAACTAGCATATACAAATATCATCCCAATGAGGCAAAAGCCAAGAAGCTTTGTTCCTCTTCTCTCTGTAGTGTTCTTCAAATTACCTCTAACTTGCACTAAAGTTCACAGTGGGTGGCAAAGTGTGGATCCAGACTCTTCTAAGCCCTGGATATTGGAATACTACTTTGGTTAGTAAATGATATTATTTTAGATATTTAATCTCTAAATTAGAAACTCTTGCAGATATATTTTCATTTCTGCTGAAGACTCTGAAGCCCCTTACAAATATGGAATGTAGAAGAGACAGAATAAGCATTATCCAACTTTGAAAGTGCAGGAGGGTCTACTATGGTTCTAGTGAATCCAAGTCAGAAAGAAATGCCACAAAAGGGGAACATAAGGAGTACTTCATAGAGACTTTGAGAAGAAATAAACCTAGGATAGTTCAGCTTAGCTAGAGGAAGATAAAAAGGGAATTCTAGGCATAAGGGCATCAAAAGCAAAAATATGTCAGGGTGAGAAAGAGTATGGGAGATAACAATGAACAGAAGAACAGTGCTGCTGGATGCTAAAATGTCCAGAGACATGGCTAGAAAGAAAGGGAAGGGCCAGTTCAAGGAGAGCCATACACGCATTATTAAAACACTCACAGTGGATCCTGTTGGTGCCAGAGATTTCATAAAGGGGTTTACACTGAGGAGTAACATAGTCAGATTTGGGTTCAAGTTTCAATCACATACCCAACTTTGTGGATGAAGGATTTAAGGGCTATGAAGCTACAGGAAAGAAAAGCAAAAAGGTGGTATCGTAAAGTGCAAGTTAAGTAGGATCTGAATAGAGGAAAGAGTTGCAAACACAGAGAGGAAGATCCTATGTGTCCAATATTTAAGAAGCGAAAGAAGCATGACTTGGTAATTAGTTGATGGTAGAAGGCAACATCAAGCACTGTCAACACTGGAAGAGGATACCTCAAAGGATATGATGATGAGTTCTGTTTGGGGTCTTGAGTTTGAGGTACTGTGAGACACCTAGGTACAGATATTCAGCAAATTGTTGGATATCTGGCCTGAAACTCAAAAACACATCTAGAGACACAAATTTGGGATCCATCAGTACTTAAGTTACAATTAAAATAGGAGTAAATAAGATCATGCAGGGAGAGAATGCAGTTAGAACAGTGGTAGCGTAGGAAGGAACCAAGAAGAACACTAACATATAATGGGTAGGTTTAAGAAAAAGAAAAAAAAATAAATACAGAAAGGAGAAAGAAAGGAGTGGTCAGAGGAATTTGAGGAAAATTAAGAGAGTGCTATGTCTTGGAAGTTAAGAGAGGGAATTTCAGAGAATAAATTAATTATCAGGATCAAATGCAAAACATAGGCCCAAGAGATGTTCACTAATAATGGCCATTAGATTTGACAATCTAGAAGTTACTGATGATCTAAGCAACATCTCATTGCATGCCATGCAAGGCAAACTGCTGTAAGGTGGGGGAGGCAGTCTGTTAAGTAAAGAAGTGGAGATAAGACATCACTACTCCTTCAAAAGGTTTAGATGAAAAGCAAAAAGAAACTGGCCATACTTTCGAAGAAATGCTGTGTCCAGGGAGAGTCAGGAGTGGGTTATTTCCAGTTCCACCACCATTAGAAAGTAAAGTTCTACCACTAATTCCGAAAGAAAAGTCTGGTTCCAGAAAGAATGTAAACGTTGCATGGTATCTACCAAAAGTTGAGAATTCCATGTGCTTGATAAGAGCAAAATTAAACTGTGTCATGTATCAATCTCTAATAAGAAAAAAGTAATAATAATACTCAAAGGGATGAGGTCCTAGTTCTGACACTTAATAGCTGTATGATCTTGAACACACGACTTAGTCCTTTGCTTTTCTCATTTTATAAGGATGTTATATGAGTACTTATATGTTTTATGAGAAATAAGACATGGCATGCACAATGCTTAGCACAGTGTTGGCTTAGTCAAATTTGTCTTTACTGAGGTTAACAGACAAAAATTATATAGTGTTTAAAGAACTTCACTTTTAAGCATGTTTAGTTGTGCATTTGTGACAAGTCCTAGTGGGATCCTGATTTACAGGTTCATAATTAGCTTCCCTAAATAGGTCACTATTAATCTACAAAGGGGGAAAATAAACACTGTAGGTAAACATAACACACTATATATATGTATATCCTTACACAGGTAAAAGAAAAACCAAGTAGTACTCAACTGTAATTTCAAATTCCAAAGAATCCTTCCCTTCTCTTGAGGTATACCTCTCATTAATTTCTACAGCAAAGTATACACCGCAGAGACTTGTTCATCTTTGTGTCAAAATGAATTAAACATAACTCTGAATAGTAATAAGTGCTGTAATGTTGTCTTCCTTTTAAATTTACATGTGCAGTAGTCTTTAATGATACAGTATATAACTCTTCCAGCCAATCCAAACAGGAAAAAAGATTCAATTATTCCCCAGATCTATAGGCAGGTACATGTTTCCCTTATATATCAGAATTTCATTACTGCTGGAACAGATTTAAAAGTCAGCATACAATAAAAGAGCTCATGATCAATCCAACGATCTGAGAGACATAAAAATACATTAAACTTCATATTCATAATATACAGCCTCATTACCAAGAAGAATGCTGTCACCTTTTAGACAAAACAAAAAAAAACTTCCTTTCAATAAAACAGGGAATAAAAAAAGTAAAGCTCTATATCAAAATAACGAAAATACAGATCTATTTATTAAGATGTCAGTAAATGACTGGAATTGACACAATAATATAAGAAAACATCAAGTATGCATCTTGGTAGTTTATAGTAAATGTACCTGCTGGCCAAATTTACATTTGGAAATTGCACATATGGTTAATTTAGTGGCATAGTTCCTAGCAAGAGTCCTTAAGACTCTTTTACAAATAAGTCTATTCAGCAAAAACATTATTTCTTGGAAGAATTAACTGCAAATGAGTATACAGTTAAACACTCATTGCACATCCCCATTGTCTTTTTTTCTCTCCTCTACACTTCAAGTACAATAGTCACTAAATTTCCAAAAGCACCAGGAAGCACAGAACTGAGATTTATGTCTTTGAAAATATTTGACAGGTATTAGGCGATTAAAACTAGTATGCTTGGCTTTTATTGTTAAAAAAAAATTAACTCTAATTGTAACATCACAGTAAAGGAGATGAAACCATTTTTTCTCCATTTAGTAAATTCTCACTATATAAAACTAAACAACAAAAAAAAACTGTAACTATATAAAACTCAAGCAAAAAGAAAATAAATCGTTCCCCCACCCCCACTCCCTGGAGTACTGTAAAATAAGTGAAGCTCACAACAGTGGCAGCTAAAACACTGAAAAAATAAAGTGCCATATTAAAGATTAAGCAGCATTCTCATGAAAAGCACACATAAAATCCATTTCACATCACTGTATCACCTAATATACGAAGTTGGTAGTTATTCCAGGTATTGCAAATGGTACTTAATAAAAAGTCAATAAATCAAAAAAATGTTCAGTCACCCAGAGTAAGGAAAAATGTATTATGTCATCTGATAAATTAGAGGTAAAGTAGATTATGTGTTGAAATGAAGTGTACAGCAGCAGAGCAGAGATGACTTCTTTGTTATCCTCCCCAAAATAATTTTGCTGGCATTGGAATAGTCAACACAAAGGAATGAAGGAGTTACGTCCAGGTCTGGACTGAGCACCCTATTTGTACCAATCACTGTCTAGCTACCACTGCTCCTTTTGTGGCAGAATTAGACCCTTACAAAGAAGTGATTCTTTGGTTGAACCAGCAACAACCTAGACTAAACATATAATGGGGAACACAATTTTTAAATAACTTGAATGAATTTAATTCCTGGTAGCAATCAATGAAAACATCAAGTGTTATATAAACACATTATAGGCATCGCATATGAGCACCATAAAACTTGTACATTCCTTTACATTCACTTTTTTCCCCGCTTAAGATGATATTAAGCTAAATGCGGGAAACAACACAATTATCTTTACATGTTAAACTTCTATGAAGACAATATATACCCCATCTCTTTCTTTAGTTGGCAAAAAATAATCATAAGGGAGAAAAATCCATTATGAAAACTAAATCTGGGCACTTCCCTTGGGTTTATTTTTCTACTGGGGTTAATCAAAAAAGCATTTGTTTCACATCTCTTTACTGATGGGGTGTTCTTAAAGAAGCAACTGACCCAGACCCAACTTCATTTCCTAACTGGAGCCTGTTATCCCCTCCCTCCCCATTCCGAGACTGCCAGTTTCCTGTATGGATGCCTACAAGTAGTATATCGCCCAACTGAAGAGCAACAATCGAAGCAGAGGAAACCAACAAGAAATCCATCAGATTTCCAAGTTTATTGACACTCAAGGGCCAGCTAGCCTCCTCGAAACGCTCAGGATCCTGCTGAGGAAAACCCGAGGGTGGGGGAATCGTGAGGATAGGGAAGCAACCAGACTGCCTAGGTGAGCCTAAGGTGAGGTGAGTCAGAAGCAAGAGGGAGGCAGAGAAGTGGTGCCGCGAGGGCGGTCACCTGTGGGACCACTTGATCCAGCCCCGCCTCCAGGGACAGTAGGCAGAATCGCGGCCAGCAGGCCTCGAAAGACGCCGAGAAAACGCAGAGCTGGGCCCCTTCAGCCCGGCCTGGAACTCACCATCCACGGTTTTCTTCTTGAAGAGGGACGCCATGGTTAAAGACTGCGCCCGGGCGGCCCGGCTCGGCCCGGTCCGGCCCAACGCTGGCAAAGGACAGGAGGAAAAGGACAGGACCTTGGCGGGTTCGGGGTGGCGGAGCGGAGAGACAGCAGGAGGAGGTCGGGGTCGCCAGGCAGGACCCGCGGAAGGCTTGTATCCGCAGCTACCGCAGCCGCGTCACCCGGAGCTCAGGTGACCGGGAACTAACACACTTTTTGGAGAAGTCACTTCTAGGCGGCGCCTGCGCGTTGTGTGGCGCCTGCGCACTACGGAGTTTGAAGCCGCGGCCGCTTTCCTCACGTCTGCGGCTGCCAGTTCCTCCTGCACCGGGAGTTGGCAGCGGGGCGAGTCTGGAGCTGGCGGGGATAGGAGAGCGTGGGGCCACGGCTTCTGTGCGCGGGTTGGGTGATGATTGAGGACAGTGATCAGCCTTGCTTAGCGCTTCACCCCTTGCCCCGGGGAAAGCTGGATGAGGGATCTCCGGGCTCCTAGACTAAGTGTGGGTTGTCCCGGAACCGCCTGTACCCACTCCGAGTTGATTTATTACGGTCCCATTGCTGTTAGTATTTTTGTTGTTGTTGTTGTTGTTGTTTGTTTGTTTTTACTCGAGTAATCCAGGAACTGGCGGAAACGTTGAGTTCCGTACCCGGTGATTGTTGGCCCCTGGAGTTCGCGGTCCTTTCGGCACTGACTGACTCGGCGACCTCCCCCGCACCGCGCAGACCCCTGCAGGACCCTAGCCGCTCACCTGCCGCCCCCGGCTCCAGACTCCGACGACCCAGCGTGGGTCTCCGGGGATCCAGTGTCTAGAGTTGGGGGGGTCTCGAGGACGAAGGGAAGTTTTTTAATGCTACACTTTTTGTTTAAGGTTCTTGCCTGGAAACATTAAAACACACACACACACACACACACACACACACACACACAAATTTGTAGGCTGGTCTAAATGTCTCCAGCTCTATTTCTTAATTTCTTGTAAATCATGAATCATAAAGTGTCATGGCTATACGGTGATCCTATTAGAATTCCTCACAGCCGTTTATTTGGGCTTTTTGTGAAAAACTGCATATCATGTTAAAGAAAAAATGTAATGAATTATTTAAAGAATCCTTGCATGTATAAAATGGAAAATACAACCTATGCGTGCGTACCTGTATATAGTCTCTACTGTTTAAAGCAACACTGCCTTCCACAGGATAAAAATAATGGTAGCATTTTTTTTTTCATAAATATTATCTCTGATATGGAAGAAATCCAGAAGTGGCTAATAATATTGACACTATAACAATAATGTCAATATTATTAGCCACTTCTGGATTTATGAATCATGTCTCAAGGATTATTATTTATGATAATCAGGCCAGCCTTTCCCATTTTTCCCCTCCTGAGATATCCAAGCCCTCATAGCCACTGATAATGCTGCTGCTGCTGCTAAAAGTTAGCTGAGAGTCTGTTCAAGAAAACTTTCTTAAGAATGACGTAGTAATATGCAAGATATAATTGTTTTGCTTCTCCTCAAGTTATTCTCGATATGGGAAGATGAAGTAAGGAAACATTAGGAAGACATGTAAGTGAGAAGATTTAGTCTCTGCACTCAAGACCGGGCCTTTTCTGGAGTGAGCTCTATGGCAGTTTGCCCTGGCTGTCTGTTGTAATGAATGGCATAGAGCTGTGCTTGAACGCATGAGAGGCAATAAGCTGTTATGTGTGTAGTAATCGTACTCCTCCCTGCTGCAGTCACCCTTGTTTTATTACTCCTATACAATCCCCCCCACTGACCCAATTGTAACAGTTGGGAAAATGCCAAAATACTTAGGAGCAACCATATGGAAGACCCTCCAAAAGTGCACAGCAGGAGCTAAAGACAGGGCTTGTTCATTACAATAAAGACAAAATAGAAATATTTACTATTTAAACTCAGTACTCTAATAGCTTGTTCTCCCATAGTTTGAAGAAGGCTGATATTCAGCTGATTGCACCAGTCTAGCTAGAGTCCATTCTGATTAGTTGGTGGCCACATTTCTCCTGTACACATTTTGTATTATTATATCGCTCCTTATTTAAAGGGCATGATACACTTAAATATATGTTGTTTTCTGGAGTATTTCATAACATAGTTTCCTCCTCTGAAACTGAAATATTTGCCATTTTTTCATCTTTGGGTACCTCGGGTTATAATTTGAATGGGTGCATTCTTCTCCTTGTTCAGCTTTTGAAGAAAGATAGCATAACATTGGAGAGTGCTGATTCTGGACACAGACTGCCCAGTTCTGTGACCAATTCTGTGACTTTTAAGTTTTAAGACCTAGGCCAGTTCACTGAAGCTCTCCGTGTTTCTTTCATCACATATGTGATAGAGATAACATTAGCCCACCTTTCATATATTAGGTTGGTACAAAAGTAATTGGCGAAAACCACAGTTACTTTTGCACCAACCTAATAGCTGTTGCAAGGATTAAATGAGTTAATATGTTAAACATTCAAAGTAGTGCTTGGCACGTAATGTCTTAGCCCCTCTGTGCAGCTACAACAAAATACCACAGACTGGGTAATTTATAAACAGTAGAAATTTATTTCTCACATTTGTGGAGGCTGGGGAGTCCAAGATCAAGGAACCCAGAGGTTTTGTTTCTGGTGAGAGCTGCTTTCTGCTTCCATGATGGTACCTTGCTGTTGCATCCTCAAGAAGAAAGAGATGCTGTATCCTCACATGGCAAGAAGGACAGAAGGGTAAAAGGGCGGTAGGCAGCTCCCTCACACCTGTTTTATAAAGGAACTAATCTCATTCATGAGGGCTCCACCCTCATGACTTAATCACATCCTAAAGTTCCCACCTCTAAAAACTATCACATTAGTGATTAAGTTTCAACATATGAATTTTTGGGGGGTACATTCACACCATATCACATAATAATCATTTTTGTATTATCTGTATTGTTGTTTCCAGCTGTTTTACCTTTTTATGCTTTCTCAAGTAATCTTCATGCTGAAATTCTCTTCTCTGTAGTACAGAAAACACAAATTGAAGATTTAGGCTTTCTGATGCTGATCTTGGTTACCTTCACCTTAACAGCCACCACCTCCCCAAATTAGCCCATTTCTTTCTCCTTAATAAAAAAATGGTTTTATTCTCAGCAAACTAACACAGGAACAGAAAACCAAACACTGCATATTCTCACTCATAAGTGGGGGTTGAGCAGTGAGAACACATGGACACAGGGAGGGGAACATCACATGCCAGGGCCTGTCAGGGGGTGGGGGGAAAGGGGAGGGAGAGCATTAGGACAAATACCTAATGCATGTGGGGCTTAAAACCTAGATGATGGGTTGATGGGTGCAGCAAACCACCATGGCACATGAAGACCTATGTAACCAACGTGCACGTTCTGTACATGTATCCCAGAACTTAAAGTAAAATAAACAAATAAATAATAAGATAATGGTTTTCTTGTTCTTAAATCTGTTATTTGTGTAGGAATTGACTTGTTATAGAAATATGTATCTAACATTGGTACTGGAAGGATTCGGTGCAGATTTGTTTCTGTTTGTCTTTTCTCCTCAGCTTCAATTTTAAACTCCTTGGGTTCAGAGAGAATCTCTTGTCAGGCCCTTCAATAATTTTCCTACTAGAATGTAAATATATTTAATAGAAACTTAATATGCAATCGTATTTTCATATTATCCATGTTTCAATGTTTTAACGCCAAATGACAAGTATATATATATACATTTGGTACATTTTTGTTGATTTGACACATTTAACTTCAAGTCTCTTTATATATGAAAAGCAGCTAACATTATCTATCTCCATGAACAACAGTAGAGATCTAGAGAACCTAAAAGTCAATAAATAATTCTGTATGTATGTAAGGATTTAGCGAAAACATCAACTCATTTGTTTCATGTTTCACATGGATTCAAATTTGAGCATACTTTAAGCTGTTTTGCTATTTCACTAACTACACTGTATTCTGCTTTATATTTAATAATGCTACAGTGACTATCATGATGCTACATGATTATCATAAACAAAATTAAGAATAAAACATTAACCTATATAACATTGAAAAATTTTTTAGAGATATGTAGAAGCTTAGCACAGAGAGAATCATCATTTTTCAAGTCTAAAATATCTCATTTCTTATAAGTGACTTCATCTATTCAGGCTGTTATAGCAAAATACCTTAGAGTGGGTAATTTATAAACAGATTTATTGTTCACAGTTCTGGAGGTTGGGAAGTCCAAAATAAAGGTTCTAGCTGGTCCCACATCTGGTGAGGGACTGTTTTTCATAGATATCACCTTCTGTGTGTCCTCACATGGCTAGAGGAATGAATAAGTGTATTAGTTCATTTTCATGCTGCGAATAAAGACATAACTGAGACTGGGTAATTTATAAAGAAGAGAGAACTCACAGTTCCACATGGCTGGGGAGGCCTCACGATCATGACCAAAAGCAAGGAGGAGCAAAGTCACATCTTACATGGTGGCATGCAAGAGCACGTGTGCAGGGGAAATTCCCTTTATAAAACCATCAGATCTTGTGAGACTTATTCACTATCATGAGAACAGCAGGGGAAAGACCTGCCCCCATTATTCAATTACCTCCCACCAGCTCCCTCTCACAACGTGGGAATTATGGGAACTATAATTCAAGATAAGATTTGGGTGGGGACACAGCCAAACCGTATCAATAAGCTTCCTCATACCTCTTTTGTAAGGGCAGTAATTCTATTGATAAGAGTGGAGCCTTCATTATCTAAACACCTCCAAAAGCTCCACCTCTTAGTACTAGCACAATATGAATTATGTTTCAACATTTAAATTTTGGGGGGACACAAACATTCAGCCCATAATAAGAGGTAAGCAATCAATACAGAAATAAAATGGTTTCCCCAAATTTTATAGTTAGTAAGGTGTTCAGCCAGAATATGTGAAGACAGACTCTTTGAGTGTTCAGACCCTATAACCAGCAATGTAAGCTGTTTGTCAGTTTTCTTGAGATGGTATCCAGGTAGGTTGTATTTGCTCAGGGGCAGGACAGTGAAAAGAGTGTTGACCTGTCTAAGATTGTTACTTTCCACACTTACTCACGGAGGAAGGTCTGGTTTCAGGAGAGGGTTAACTAGAAGGAAATTCTGCTATATCTTCCCTTTCTGTCTTCATTCCCTTCTCTCAACTTATCCAAATTCAGAGCAAGTAGGCAGCACTTATTCTAGCTGACTAAATGACAACAATCAACAAATTAAACACATGTATAATTTTTGTATATTTCTTACCAAATAACGCATGGAACATTATTTTCATGTTTCAGTATGTAAGCCTTAAATTTGGAATTTTTTCATAATTTTTACATTTATACTTTAATAGCTCCAGGAACTCAGCACATTTCCCTCTTTGTCAAATCTTGCTTTTAAAACTATGTGCCATAAAGAATGGGTGAGACTATTCAGAGACTTAGTCAATGGAAAGCTAAATGAGTACCCGAAATGTGTATGGCTGCACATCATTGGTTTTAAAGTCTAAAAGACTTCATGTGTTATTTGGAATATGTAACAACATGATCCTTCTTGAAAAATAAACTAAACTTTGCCCTGAATTCCTCACAGTGTTAATAGGAGTTTCACATGAGTAAATCAAAGCAGAATTTGTGCCCCCTGGCACAACACAGCATATGTATATATTTGCTCTTCAATTCAATAAGGACTGTGGAGTGCAGAGCTACTCCCATACAAAATAGAAATAAACGTAAGTATGGGAGTAATGGATTTGGTTCTTCAATAAAATAAAATAAAACTGTAATAGCTATCCCACTTTATGTTTTAAATGAATAGGAATTAAGAGAGGTGCTGGCTGGATGTTTATTACTAAGTATGAATAATTTACTAAAACAATGGCATTACGTTTTCCATACAAATAAGGTGGCCTTTTTATAATCACCATTTCAAGCTACATTTATATGGTCTTCTATGCATTTTTTAATTTAGTCATCTAACAAATCCTTATAGAGCAACTACTATATGAAATGTGTAGTGCTAGAGAGATTCCTCACTCTGAGGAATCTATGAATGATCTATACATGAATCTGTTCCAAAGAAGTTAAAAGTCCAAAGAAATTAAAAAGTCTACAACAAGAATTAAATTACAAGATGCCATAGATAGCTATACAACTTGGAGTCACTAACAAAATTACATAAATGATTGAATTTCTGAGTAGAAATTTTGTTTAGAAATATTGTCAATAATTGGGCTATAGTTTATTATATTTTAAAATATATCCCCATTAAAAAAATACCTTCACTTAAATTTGTTTCTCCTATATACAAGAAGTAGTTCAGAAGCTCAAACATGCCTAAGATCAGATGAAAAACTGAAACAATTTTAAAAATAATTTTTAGATATAAGAATATCTAAAATGTATAACCATGAATTTATTGATAGATGCAGCAGTAATGAAAAGTAATATCTGAATGTGTATAATGTTCACACTCTGGAAGAATATTGTATCATATTTTCAAGAGTTTAATATGAAAATTGCTTATCCATACTTGCAGTTTCTAATTTATTTGTGAGAATTACAATTTTGGCTACTAACCACCATTTTAAAAGAATGCAATAAAAAGTTAGAATTTGAATATTACTTTTATATTATAAAATGTTTAGGCAACTATTCATAAACAAAGACCTACACATTCAGTGTGTTGGAATTTTGTCAATAATATGTATTTATACCTGTGGTGGGATGGCTCTTTACCTGAGACTCACTTTTAAGTGTTCCTTGTGATAATGCATTGAATAATCATATTTAGTGATGACCTATTCTATACATTGCATGAAGAGTTATAAAGAAGTATTAAGACAGGGTCTTTACCAAAATAAGGAGAATCTATTTTGGATGGTGACTGATATGGTTTGGCTGTGTCCTCACCCAAATCTCATCTTGAATTGTAGCTCCCATAATTCCCATGTGTTGTGGGAGGGAGCTGGTGGGAGGTGATTGAATCATGGGGGTGAGTCTTTCCAGTGCTGTTCTCCTGGTAGTGAATAAGTCTCATGAGATCTGATGATTTTAAAAAGGGGAGTTTCCCTGCACAAGCTCTCTCTCTTTGTCTGAAGCCATTCATGTAAGATGTGACTTGCTCTTCCTTGCCTTCCACCATGATTGTGAGGCCTCCCCAGACATGTGGAACTGTAAGTCCATTAAACCTCTTTTTCTTCCCACTCTCAGGTATATCTTCATCAGCAGCATGAAACCAGACTAATATAGTGACAACTAATCACACAGGCAAAGTACCTTGTATTAAGAGGATTAACTTTGTACTTTAGAATAACAAGTTGAATTATCATGTCAAAACAGACTTTATGGATTACAACAGTTACTGTGTCAACATCTGCTTCATTTAGAGGTGTGGAGAGTCTTAAGAACCATTTTGACTTTAGGTGGGAGAGGATATTGATTTATAAGAGAGATTGTTCAGACATTGTTTCTCCCAACTCTCTTGGATGTTGTCCCTCATTTGGGGACAGAAGGATGCTGTATTAATTTCCTATTGCTGCTCTACTAGATTTTTACAAATTTAGTGGCTTAAAAATCCCAAATGTATCATTTTATGGTTATGAAAGCCAGAAGTATGAAATGGGTCTCACTGAGATAAAGTCAATGATTCATCAGGGCTGCACTCCTGGAAATTCTGGGGAGAATCTGTTTCCTGCCTTTTCTAGCAACCAGCAGCTGACGGCATTCTTTTAGCTACTTGCCCCTTTCTCATCTTCAACAGCAGCAGCCTATCATCTTCAGATCTCTCTCTGACTCTGACTTTCTTGCGCTTTCTTCTTCCACATTTAAGGACTCTTGGATTACATTGGACCCACTCAAATATTATCTGATATTTTCCTTATTTTAAAGTCAGCAGATTAGCAACCTTGACTGCATCAGTAATCTTAATTCCCCCTTGCCATGTAGCATGATATATTTACAGGTTCCAGGGATTAGAATGTGGACATATTTGAGGGACAACATTCTGCCTACCATAGATAAGACTAAGTTTTTAAATAAAGTATATATTCATTGGCCCTACATGATATTCTTTGGGCTATTCCAGTTGCAGATTGCTTTCTCAATGGTACCTAACATCTTCCATATGTTTATTAAGGTCACTGTTGACATTATTGACACGAATATGCTGTCCTTTGCTATCATTGTCCATTATGGTTAGACATGTTCAAAATATTGACCTAATTGGCTTTCATTTGGCAGAAGGACTCCTGATGTTTTCTCAGATCAACCCTAGAAGATTTCTAGGAAAGATGAATTGTACAAATCCTGACATGACATTTTTCATTGGAACAGACTTGGTTTAATACTTTATTCCAAGGCCTGCTTTGTGGATACGTAAAGCCACTTTAGTATTTAATAGAAGTTTTATTTATTTATTAATATTATCATTTTGGGGTTTTTAGAGATGGTACCTCCTCCTGTGTGCAGCAATCATAATTCACTGCAACCTCCAACTCCCAGGCTCAAGCAATCCTCCCTCCTCAGTCTCCCAAGTAGCTGGTACTACAGGTGTATACCACTAAGCTCAGCTAAATTTGTTTTTTGATTTTTTGTCTGATTGTTTGTTTGATTTTTAAGAGACAGGGTCTCATTATGTTGCCCAGGCTATTCTCAGATTCCTGGCCTCAAGCAGTCCCCTCACTGCAGCATTCCAAAGTGTTGAGATTACAGGCATGAGCCACCACATCCAGCCTAAAAATTTTGCTTAATTGACATTTAATTTGGGGCTAAAGCTGCATTCATGGTATTAACCATCAGCACATTTTAAATGTTTCAGTAACTGACTGCCTTTTTCTTTTATCCTCCACATATCTGGCACCTAAGGATCCAATACATATTTGTTTTGTTTTGTTTTGATTGTTTTGTTTTTAAGACGGAGTGTTCCTCTGTTGCCCAGGCTGGAGTGCAGTGGTGCGATCTTGGCTAACCACAACCTCTGCCTCCTGGGATTAAGTGATTCTCCTGCCTCAGCCTCCCTAGTAGCTGGGACTACAGGCACGCACCACCATGCCCGGCTAATTTTTTTTATTTTTATTTTTAATAGAGATGGGGTTTCACCACGTTGGCCAGGATGGACTCGATCTCCTGACCTCAGGTGATCCGCCCACCTTGGCCTCCCAAAGTGCTGGGATTACAGGGGTGAGCCACTGCACCCAGCCACATATTTGTTATATTAAGTAAAAAAAAAATTCAATCTACATCAAGTTTATGATTAAAATACATTTGGGCTGAGCACAGTGGCTCACGCCTGTAATCCCAACACTTTGGGAGGTTGAGGCAGGCAGATCACATGAGGTCAGGAGTTGGAAACCAGCCTGGCCAACGTGGTGAAACCCTGTCTCTACTAAAAACACAAAAATTATCCCTGCATGGTGGAGCACACCTGTAGTCCCCCACCTACTCAGGAGTCTGAGGCAGGAGAATTGCCTGAACCCAGGAAGTGGAGGTTTCATTGAGCCGAGACCATGTCATTGCACTCCAGCCTGTGTGATAGACTCTGTCTCAAAAAAAATAAAAAATATAGATGTAATTAAGACACTCAATAATTTAGTTGAAATACCCATACAAATGACTTTAAAAATATGTCTTAAAAATGCATATTTGAGAAATGCCATTCAATTTTTATTGTAAAAAGACAAACTAGGCAGAACTAGATCAACATTTTCAATAATTGTATATTGTCATTCATTTATTCATTTGTCATTTATTCATTTGTTCATTTATGTATGCTAAAATTTTAGAGGCTAAAGGGACCTTAGAGGTCATCTATTATAAGGACTTCATTTTACAAATAGGTATATCAGGACACATAACAGAGAATTGCCACACCTCACAGAATTGCACACCTGTTTTTCAGCAGAAGGTCTACAACTAGGAACCCGCAAGATCCAGCTTTCAACCCAATGCTTGTCCTGTACTGTAGATCTGTCTTAATAAAGCAGGAGAAAATAAAGGAGAGGAGAGAAGATCTAGAAGGCAAGCTCTCAGCAATCTGTACAAATTGTTGATACATTCAGACATTTTGGCATATGAAGAAATGACAGGATGTTTCTACCACCTTCAATGCCCAGGGCATAATTTATGTAGTGTACTGAGGCTGATTGTATAAACATCAGAGGCCAGCCTCTTGGGAAAACTTCTCATTCTGTTAGATACATTTGGGATAAGAACTTTTTTTTTTCCCCTAGTAAATGTTTTCTGTCATTCAATGTGGAGATTTAGAAACACACTCATTAACATTCATATAAAAATAGTATGATTTTAATGTAAACAGAAAATTATTTTAGGACTGAAGCAAAATTGGTCTAAGATGAGATCAGTCTCTGATAAAACATAAGCAGAAATGGGATTGGGATCATGAAGATTACATTTAAAGTAAGGAAGGCAATTCTCATGGACAAGTCATGATGTGAACATGTCATCATACAATTTCTAAGCCATGAAAAGTAGTTTTTAGTTCTCACAGTTCTCTCAAACCCAGTCTGAAGTTATCCTGGTTAGCGTGAAGGGGTAGGGATTGGGAGAAAGTACTAGCATTTCTATGGGATACATTCTTCATTGCAGAAGCAGAAAAGCCTAAAAAGACATTTCAACTCAATTAAAATTGTAACGACATTCAGTATCTTTGAGGATATAATTTCAAATTGAAAAATAAATCAGAACAGGTTTTATGTAAAAGAATGCCTAATGACTAGGAAGACTTTTCCAAAATAGAATCAGAAATATTGATCAGATAAGAAGATATTTGAATACAAACATATATGGATAATCTTAGTCGTATTAGTAATATCTGACATTACAAGGGAGGGCAGGTTCTTTTTTCTGTATTTTGCACATAACCCATTATGTAGAAGAGCAGATCTAAGCCCAAGGTTGTGTTGTCAAGGGAGGCTGGGGACTCTCTCCTTGGGGGTCATAAATACAGTTTTCCATCTGCCTGAAACTGTTTAGGTGAAACATGCCTGAAGTCAGGGGCTAGATCAGATGATCTCTGGGGGTCTCTTCCAGCCTTTTGAGTCTTTGAGAGAAATTCCTAATCAGCATGTTAATGAGTACTTTAAATTTGTATTCTGATTTTCTTGAAGATAATTACCAGAAATACTAAATAGAGAACAGCATTTCTACATGCCCGTTTAAAAGAAGAAAAATAAGAAAGAAAAAGAGATGGTTTCTGCTTACAAAGAAAAAAAGATGTGACCCACTTGATGTTACAAAAGGCAATTACCTGGAAGGTAGTATGGTTCAGTGGTCTTGGAAATGTCTAAGAAAGTCCAAGGCTACTGGATCTGTTCCCTTTTCTTATGATGTCTTTCTGTGTGACCCAGGGCAAGTTACTTGACCTTAGTTTCCTCATCTGAAAACGCAAGAGTCTGGGAGTTGTGCTTGATTACCTGACTAATATCAAGGTACAGGAATTGAATGAAGAATGGAATTTCATTTTGGGTTTCATCACTGCTGCAGAGATGACAGATGGGAATCATATGAATTAGGTTAGCCCCTGCGCTTCATTAACTGACAGAAAGAAAGTCAGAACAACACGGATGGCAAGCTAAACTTTGAAAATCCATTAATAAATCTTAATTTTAAAGGATAAATGTTGCAAAGATTTATTTTGCTCTGCATTATAGTAAATTAATTGATATATTATCCTATGTATTCAGTTAACTGAGTTAGTACAAAATTGGCCCTAGAAGAAAAGGAATTGGTAAAATACATACTCAGGCCAATACCTTTTCTTCCTGTACTCAGGTTTTTGGAAAAATACCTTTTTATTAATATTGATATATAGCTGTTTTATAAAAAGGAACAAAAGTATATCAGTCCAAATTATTTTTCTTCCTCTGTCCTTTCTTTATCAGTAGTCAAATATGTTTAATTTGAATTTTCATGTTTCTTGGCATAAGATGTGATTTACTCTGAATGATTAAACTGACAGGTTTCCAAACCTGGCATGTAGGGTTAAGCATTTAACCTGAAAACAGAAACATTTTCTAACAATATTTAATTACCAAAATTTTCATATGATTTAACTTTATGCACATTTCAAAACCTAAGAGGAACAACAAAGGAGAAAAACACATCCTGCCCCTTGAGAGTGTTTCAGTATCTGTTAAGTGAGCGGTCAGCTAATACCGGATGCTCACTGTAAGCTTATGCAGTATTTATTATTGAATTATACCTTAATTAAAAGATTGAGCACTGTACTTTATGGCATGTGCTATTTTCAACACGTTATTTCCACCGGAAATCACTGCTTGCTTTCAATAAACCTGCCCCAAAGAAGAAATCAGAAAGGAATTAAACTGAAGCATAATTAAACAGAAGATAATACTTTCTAAAATCAACCAAGAATTATGTTTCTGACATACTCTTTGAGATAGGCAAAAAACAAACTTTAAAATAAACTATGATGATAAAAAATGAATTGGCATTACATCTGTAACAAAGCTTGATAGAATCTTTGGTAACCTGATCTGATAAGATAATTGATAACATTATCTTTAGTGTACTGAAGTGAAAGACCAAACCCATTCTGAAAATGTAGTTGGCATTTTGATTTGAAATTGAAATTATATGCAGCCTTTTGTTCATGAACATTAAAGAGAGGGCAGGGATATCACAGAAAATATTGCTCTACGTGAGGTTTGGGGAATCATAAATTCTGGTTTCAACTCTGCTATTAAGCTTTTAGATGGCATTATACCTTAGTCCCACCATCTGTACAGTATGAATAATCATATTTTGTTAACTCACAGGTGTGTTGTAAAGAATAGAAAATAAAAAGTAACTCTGAACATACAAGCATTCTCTGAGCCAAGACGGTAAACAAATGGTTAAGAGATACAAAAAAATGGATTGAACTTTATAATGAAACTCTATGAAGGATTTAACCTGAAAAGAGCAACATTTTCTAACAATATTTAATTACCAAAATTTTCATACGATTTAACTTTGTGCACATTCCAAAACCTATGAGGAACAACAAAGGAGAAAAACACATCCTTCCCCTATGGAGTGTTACATGAGGGACCAGGTAATGCTAGATTATCTCTGTAAATTTATGCAGTATTTGTTATTGAATTACACCTTTAATTAAAAGATTGAGCACTGTGTTGTATATCTGAAGAGGAGATGCTAGGGCAACTGTAAGCACTTTGAGGAACTCCTCTTTTTCTCTAGATACTGATATTTATTAGCAGGACCCAGATAAAATGCCCAGCAAACCTTTGTGTCACTTCCTTGTAAATGTCTAATTCCAAGATTAACAAATCTGTATTCCTAATTTGGGTCAAATGTCTACCCCTGCTGATTCAGGTACACTCAGAATACAAAGCATTGAGTACAGATGTAGCCACTAAGTAATGGGCTATATCCAGTTATGAAAGAAATTATTGTGAATCAAGAAATCACCTCTGTTTGTGATTTCTAAAAGCATGTTACTAAATGTCCTTTTGCCTATAGGAGAAAGATAACATGCTCACTTTCTTGTCTTTATGCTTGAGAGAATATTTCTTACCTGATAAATACCTTTTTGTCTTAACCCCTTTACCATGCATTAAAGAAAATCAATTTGGGAATAGAGAGTTGGAGAGCTATATGTTTCCAAATTATTTCATTTTATGACTTCCTGGTAGGAATTTTCTTTCAATATACCATCTTCTTTTACCAACTTCTCTTAGTTTCTTCCTTTTGTAAAATTTGAGCTTATTACAAGAAAAATAAACAACACAAATAAGTAAGTTAAACCACCCTGATTTAGTGTTAGGAAAGTCAGAAGGAAACAGAATTTCAAGGATGAGTAGTCAAAACTGTTAAATATCATACAGAATGTATAAAAAATATGAAATGGAGAAAAAGACATTTTATTTTGTAATTATAACCGATGACCTTCAGAAATGCAGCTTCATTAATATAGGGACAGGAAGTCAAAATGCATGGAATTAAAGACCAACTCATGGTGGGAAAGGAAGTGGAGGCAGCAAGGATCAAATACACTTCAAAAGTTTCAGAGTAAAATGAAAGGAAGTAGATAGTTTCCAAGACACTTGAAATGAAATATAACCTCACCATTGTGCCTTATGATGTCTGGTGGTGTGTATAGCTCCAGTAGCTCTCTTTTAATTTATTAGATTCAAACCCACATAGCTTATGGAGAAAGGTAAGAAACTGTATTAGGTTTTATCCACAGCTCCCTTTAGTGCATAGTCTACCAGCCTTCGATGAGTGCCCAGAAGTACCTTTACCTTTTATCATTCACAGATTTTTCTCTCATCTTTCTTCTTATTCTTCTCACCCTCAAAGGATTAAAGTCAATAGAGTATTTTGCAGTCAAGGCAACTAATACTCTTGTTTTAAAGTTTCATGGTGTCCTCAGTTTAGAATAGTTTAGAACATCTGTATTCTTTTGAGTGTAACATCAAAAAGACAAACAATTTTCTACTAATAGTGATTACCTTAAAGGAAGGGAACAGAAGGAACAGAAAACTTATATTGCCGCCTATGTATACTTATAACAAGATGATAACTCTCAGTGGAAAGATAGTAGCAACATTATTTATTAAACTGATCTGGAAACTACCTTCATCAGTCACCTGGGGTGTTAGCTATGTACACAGATTTGCCAGTCCAAGAGCAAAAGAGAGAGTTTATCCCTGGAAAGGAAAAAGAATATCTTTGCCTTTGAGATGTAAGCAAAGGAACAAAGGCCGGATGAGACACATGAGAACATAAGCAGCTTACTTATAACACCTCTAATCTCTATGTAATGTAGAAAGGGAAGTCATCCAGTGAGAAAGAAGTAAATGGGTGAAATTGTCAGTTGAGAAAAAAGTAAAGAATTTTTGGAATTTTCATTTTTCTGAGTTTTCTAGGAATCAACAATATTTTGTTGTTGTAAAGCACATTTTTTTTCTAATATTTTAATAGCTGAGGGCAACTTACAATCACTGCTGGCTAAATCTTGATGGAATTGTTATTTCCAGCACATGTGGGAACTCCATTATAGCTATTCTATTGTCACTTAAGTTGAGTTATGTGCATTGCTAAAAACGTCATCAAAAAGATTACTCTGATTTGGCATTAAAACAATATGTTATTGTGTACTTAGAAGAGCATGAAAACAGAGCAGTGGGGCATAGACTTGATATTAATGAAGCAAATATTCATTAGAGGAGGAATGAATACAAATCCATAATTTCTTGTAAAGAATAACCAAAGCTTTAATAGGATCCACACATATGAGATATTCACGTATTTATTACTGAGATGTTTGTAAAAAGAATGGCTATCATATAAAAGGCAATGCAACCCAAGGTAAGGGAAATTGCTGTGTATCTCAGAGTAGATTGATGAAATATCAAAACAAATGAGAAGCTTGTGTGACTAATTCAATTGTAGCACAGGACTATCTTTAAGGTGTTTGATAGCAGCTTGTCAGAAATTTTCAGCTAATTGAGTGGTAGCATTTTTACTTTGAGCAACATGTGATTCAACTGAGGAAAACAATAAATATAAGTGTAGTCAAGTAGGATAAGCCAGTGAATCTTGGAGCTCTTTAATATGTCTCACAATGATCCTGTCAATATTAAAGACACTAAAAAGTTGAATATTATGAACATAGATGAAGAAAGGCAATGCTATCATTGTGAAGCTTTGCATAACTGCCAATCACCAAACATTTCTTCTATGTTGAATTTTTGACTTTAAAATACTTCTGAAGAATATCTTCCCCAAAATGTTATTCTGTATTTGCATGCACACACAAGTGCACATGCACACATACACACACAATTGGAGGATAATGACTGAGCTAATGAACTGCCTATTGTTATCTGAAACAGGCACAATCCCCTTTTAACATTTGTCATAATTTCACTTTTTGGTTGTAGTTAGATAGTGGATATACATCAGCTGTGTTTAAAAATAAATATACCCAAAACTATATAGTTGTTATTGCTGTTAGTAAGAGTGGACAACAGCAATCTCCAAGTTTTCAACCAACCAACCATCAAAGGACCATTGGGAAAGGGTGTAAGTCCTTGTTGTCAAAAGAAAAATACCTATTGATATCTTCTGGTAAGATTAATAAAGTGACAGGTATCAAAACCTGTAGAACAGGGGTCAGAGTTAAGATGAAAATCTTGAAGAAAATAGTGAGGTCATAAGGAATAACTGTGCATCAAATAGTAATTGGTGGGAAAACATGGTCAGTGATGAGTGAGTCAAAAAGAGATTCAAAAGAGTGGGACTCTGACTGTGAATATATTGTAGGAATTTCATAACCAATTGAAACTGAAGCTTAGAAAAGTCATGTAATCTGCCCAAGATGATATAGTCTGCTTGCATTTTTCTTTATGTGTATACATAAAATAATTAAAAGCTTTGTAATAAATAATTTAAAATAATATTTCAGAGTCTAAAAGACCTCTTTCACTGGGCATGGTGGCTCCTGCCTGTAATTCCAGCACAGTTTTTTTTTTGTTTTTTTTTTTTTGAGACAGAGTCTCACTCTGTGCCCAGGCTGGAGTGCAATGGCACAATCTCAGCTCGCTGCAACCTCCACCTTCCCAGTTTAAGAAATTCTCTGCCTCAGCTTCCCGAATAGCTGGGATTATAGGCACGTGCCACCACACCCAGATAATTTTTTTGTATTTTTAGTAGAAACGAGGTTTCAGCATCTTGGCCAGGCTGGTCTTGAACTCCTAACCTCGTGATCCACCCGCCGCTGCCTCCCAAAGTGCTGGGATTACAGGCGTGAGCCATTGTGCCTGGCCAGTTCCAGGACTTTGGGAGGCCAAGGCAGGAAGATTGCTTGAGCCCAGGAGTTCTAGACCAGCCTCGGCAAAAGTGAAACCCTGTCTTTACAAAAATTACAACTGTTTGATAGCACAACAGGGTGACTGCAGTCAATAATAACTTCATTGTACATTTAAAAATAACTAAGAGTGTAATTGGATAGCTTGAAACACACAGGATAAATGCTTGAGGGATGGCTACCCCATTCTCCATGATGTTACTATTAATACCTAGAATTTGATAGCATAACAGGATGACTATAGTCAAAATAATTTGATTATAGATTTAAAAATTGCTGAAAGAGTATACATGAATTATGTTCAACACAAAGGATAAATGCTTGAGGGGATGGGTACCCCATTTCCCATGATATGATTATTACACCTTGCATGCCTATGTCAAAACATCTCATGTACCTCACAAATATATAAACTGGCTATGTACCCACAAAAATTAAAAATTAATTTTTTAAAAGTTACAAAAATATTATCTAGGCATAGTGGTGCATGCCTGTGGTCCCAGTTACTCAGGAGGCTGAGGTTGGAGGATTACTTGAGCCTGGGAGGTCGAAGCTGCAGTGAGCTATGATTGCACCATTGCACTTCATCCAGCTTGGATGACACAGGGAGACTGTCTCAAAAAAAAGAGAAAAAAGGCTGGGTGTGGTGGCTCATGCCTGTAATCCCAGCACTTTGGGAGGCTGAGGCGGGTGGATCACCTGAGGTCAGGAGCTTGAGAACAGCGTGGCCAACATGGTGAAACCCTGTCTCTACTAAAAATACAAAAATTAGCAGGGCGTGGTAGTGCATGCCTGGAGTCCCAGCTAGCTACTCAGGAGGCTGAGGCAGGAGAATTGCTTGAACCTGGGAAGCGGAGGTTGCAGTGAGCTGAGATCATGCCATTGCACTCCAGCTTGGGCAACAAGAGAGAGAAACTTTGTTTCAAAAAAAAAAAAAAAAAGAGAGAGAGAAACAAAAGAAAAGAGAGCCCTTTCAGCAAATATAAATAAAATTCTTAAATCTGTAAGCTTTAGAAAAGCATATGTCGTGGCTTAATTGAGCTGGAGCTCTATCTGAAATATCTTATTTGCAATGATGAAGAGCTTGTAGTAGTGGGAACCACTAAAGACCACTAAATGTCCTCAGCATTTGAACCACTTTATTTATTTGATTTTTTTATTGTAGTAAAATACATACAACATAACATTTATCATTTGTAAGTGTACAATTCATTAGTATTAAGTACATTCATGTTGTAGTGCCAATATTTGATTTTTTTTTTTTTTTCCTGAGACAGAATCTTACTCTGTCGTTCAGGCTGGAGGGCAGTGGTGCGATCTTGGCTTACTGCCAATATCTGGTTTTTGAGAAGACAACTGTATGGAAGATAAGCTGGGAGTGCAAATCCACTAGATAAAAAGAAATGAATTGAATATTTCAGTTGAGTTATGATAGGTCCAAAATTAGAACTGCAGACTAGTAGATAGAGAAAATTAGGATAAAGATTGCAGAAGGCACATTATTTGAGGGGAATGCAAATGAGTTCCACCCTAGACATCCTATGTTTCGTATGTATGTGAGACATCTGTGTGAAGCCCTCCAGCACAGAACTGAAAATAGTTCGGAGCTCAAGGAAGATGTGAAGCTGGAGTCATCAGCTTTGTTCAAGTAAACTCTCCTAACGAACATTCAAGGAAGTGAGGAAAATGGAATCAAGGATGGAACTTTGATGAGATCCAGTATTTAGCAGCTCATTAAGAGCAAGTATTCAACAATGGACACAAATAAGGAATAAGTAGAGGGAAGAACTAAGAGAGAGGAAGACATTGTAAACATCAAATAAAGGAAGTATTCCAAGTGGCAAGAGCACCTAACGACATCAAATATTAGTATTAAAGCAGAACAAAAACTTTTCATGTAGTTCATTGGATTTGACAAGGTTGTTGGTGATTCTCACAAGGGTGACTCCGTAGAATTATGCAGGATGGGTTTATGGGCAGAAGTGGTTATAGTGGGTTGAAGAACAATAGTAAAAAAAAAAAAACAAAAATATTAAGGAATAATGATAGATAATATTTATGGGGCATTTATACTATATCAGGTATTGTGTCAAGTGTTTTATAATATTATGCTATTCAATTCCTCTACCAATTTTGCACAGTGGGTAACAACATTTTATAGAATAGGAAATTGGGACTTAGAAAACTTATGTAATCTGCCCAAGGACCTATAGCCTTCTATATACGCTCAAGCCAGATTTTCGCTTCCCTATTTACCCCTTTACAAGAAATAAATAAAAATTTAGGATACAAATAAAAGGAAGTCTAAAGTATTCTTTCAAGAAGTTTGGCCAAATAGAGAAAGCGCATGAAGGGAGCTAAGTCAGTAACTGTAGGAGGTAGTAACATGGAGATATGGTTTTTGTTGTTCTCTGGAAAAAGGAATCAGAGTTGTTTTTGGATTGAGTAGAATTTACCTATTTTAATTAGGTAAGTAAAAGAGAATCTGTATAATGCAAAAGAGAAAGAGGATAATTAGTGGAGTGAGATCAACAGAAAAGGAAAGAGAATATAATTTCTAGTTCATAGGTCAAAGGTTTGATTTCTGAGAATTGGAGAAGTTTGATCTCAGAGACAGAGAAGGAGAAAAGAAGTGGGTGTGCAGCTCTGGATGTGGATAACTGAGCCTGGTAGAGAAGTTATGGGATTTTTGACTGATGTGCATCTTTACCAACAGTGTGGGATAGGGATATGCTTGGGAATTTGAAGAGCATAGTAAATATTTGGAACAAATGTTTCAAACAATAGACAAAAATGTAATTGTAATAGGAAGCACCTTATTGATGTAGTTTAAAGTAGAAAACACATTTTTGTGTGAATGCTAAGGGATGCTGTAACGTGATTCATCTTTACCAGTGGATGAGACATCCATCATAAAAGAGGATTAAAGGTGGGGCTTGTATTGATTCATGGGGAGTAAATAGTTTTGAGAGTGTAGCAGAAAGATGACAAAACAAGAGAATCCAGGAAAGTGTGGCAAATGCCATTATGTTAAATTCAGCATTGAGCTGCAAAATAGAGTAGGATGAATTATTGAATTCCCAAGTTGAGGTTAAAGAAAATATGTAGTATGGAGAAAGACACTGAAAAGTCTGAAAATTTAGGTGGCTGTGAGGAGTAAACCACAATTTAAGAGTTGAAGCTTACAAGAGCACTCCTGACAGTTGACTAATTTGAGTGTTCCATCTTGAGAGAGTTTTGCTAAAGAAAAAAGAGTGAGGATTTCCCAAATTAAAATGATAGTAAAGTAAATAGAGGTTTTAAATAATGTGAAATTTTACTTCTGGTTGAGTAATTTTTCCAGCATATCATTCAACAGTGGCTTTGACAGAGAAGAGCAGTACTCAAGAATACAATTCCACTAAAACAGAAATTCCTAAGCCAAACTTTTTATTTCATTAAAATTAATGTGTTTTCTCACCACTCCCTGAAACAGACCCTCTTACCAGTATACAAGGTTGAGAGTAATTCCTCTTTGAACTCCAGTTCTTGTTAACATGGATGCTGCTGCGACTCTGTATCTCAGAGCCTGCATCTCCTTCCAGTTAAATTTTGGATCAATGAGAATGTGGCCATTGCTCTTTTCCTCAAGGGTTAGTTTTTTGTATTCATAATCAGCCACTGATGATTGGCAACCATTTTTGAAGAATTTTTTTCATGTTTTCATATCTCTTCATTACTAAGACTACATTTAAGTATTTGCATAGTATCAATTTGCATAATGTACTCCATCAGCATTTATGTGACATTTTACTGTTTCATCTCTTCTATTGTCTCGTTGCCCTCTGCCTTTCATTGTCACATGGTTAAAAAAAAGAAAAGCTCATTTCAATGACAAAGACATCCACAGTTGGAGCATAAACACATGTCCAGGCTTACTATTACTATTTTAGATAAAACTCTGGGTAATAAGGCAAGGATTTTTTTACTTGGTTGCATCTGGTTCACATTTTTTTTAGTGTTAATCAATAAATATTGAGCTACCTGAAGGTGATTGACGATCAGGTAACCTATATTTATAATTGTTCTTCAAAACTAAATTACATTTTTGTAACTAACTTGTAGCAATATGAGCCCTTACAATGCTTCCTGACCCAGTTCAAATGCTACTTATCATAAAATCTTTTCTGATTTCCCCAGGCATAGTTAATTATTTCCTCGTCTGTGTTAGTAAAGAACTCTGCTCATATATGTCATTTATCATTTACCACATTGTGTTGTGCAATCTGTTTGCAGGTCTGAATCTTTCTTTAGACTTTGACTTGCTTGAGGGTTGAGGCTGTCTTCTTTATCTTTCCTGCAAAAGCAGTAAATGTGTGATTCATAAATGTGTGATTCATAACATTTCTTAAATTTTTTTTATGTTGTAAAGTATATAAAGAAAAATATACAAATTATCAGTGTACAACTGGATGAGTCACAACGTGTATTCAACTTTGCCATGAAATGGCTGCTCAGAATCACTCTGTCACTCTGAGCATCCCCTCAGACCCACCTGCTCAACTCCTCAGTCACTCTTCCTTCCCTGTGTGTCAGAGTAATCACATTCAGACTTTCAGTACCGAGACTAGTGTTTTAGTAAATAGTAAAAATACTATTTTACATAGTTTTTGGATCCTATATATTTTGGGTAGTTTTTTTATTTCTTTCTTTTTCTTTTTATTTTATATAAATGTAAATAAAACACAAACTCATAAGTGGAAGACCTAGCATAATTTAAAATTAATCAATAAAAATGTCCAGTAGTGTTAATAATGCTTATGTAATCTGAACACACAACGAAGATATGTGATACACTAAAAAGTAATTGACAATTATTTATCTTATTCTTCCAGGAATATAGGAACAGATATTTTACTTCTTGTCTCAACCAACATGCAATTTCTAAGCTAGAAATTTAATGGTTGTTATGAACCGAATGTTTGTCACCCCAAAATTCGTATGTTGGTGCACTAACCCCCAATGTGGTATTGTTTGGAGCTGGGACTTTTGGGAGGTAACTAGGGTTAAATGAGCTGTCAGTATGGCCCTCATAATGGGATTGCCTTTATAAGAATAGACACTAAAGAGGTTGTTTGTGCCCCCCACACCCACCTCATTCACCAAGAAGAGATCATGTAAGTACACAAAGAAGAGGAAACTATCTGCCAGCTACAAAAAGAGCCCTTACCAGACTCCAACCATGTAGCTTATTGGCACCCTAATCTTGGACCTCCAGCCTTCAGAACTGTGAGAAAATAAATTTCTGTTGTTTAAGCCACTCACTTTATGGTATTTTGTTATGGGAGCCCAAACAGACTAGGACAATGGCATTTCAAAAGTTTTGTGATATTTGAATCATAAGTTTTTGATATATTTGTAATATTTCAATTTCCTAGAAGGTATATAGGAAATATGTGAGAAGCCCAGCTCTATCTTGCTATCCATAATATGTATGTTGCAACTGAGAGTTTGGTGATAGTTTCTTTTCCCAATGTTAATGATGTAATTACAATATTGTCAAATTTACATTAGGTTTTTCACTTAAAGCAGTGGTTCTCAATGAGGGTGCTTTTGTCCCCCCAGGGACGTTTTTGGTTATCACAGTTCATGTTGTGTTTGTGGGGTGAGATGGGAGCGCTAATAAAATCTAACAGGTAGAAGTCAAGGATGTTACTAAAAATCCACAATGCACAGGACAGCCTCCAATAACAAAGAACTAGACAACCCTAAATGTCAGTAGAGTAAAGGTTGAAAAAAATTGACCTAAAGAAATTTCCATAGATAAATAACATCTTATTTATCTTATAATTTTATACCCTAATATTATTTGTTGGATTTTATGATGCCTGACCTTTTAAAATTGTTGAATGACATGCATATGCTGTTTTTTTTGTTTTGCTTTGCATTTTTAATGTCAAGAGGATTAATATCAACTTAAGATAAATTAAACTCAAAACACCTGGAGAAATTCAGTAACTAAAAATACTCAAACATCACTTGTGGTGCATTCCATCTTGTAAGTTTCAAGGAAGAAGCTGTTTTTGCTTAAATTTACTTTGGACTATACTCAGTACCAGGTAGATATTATTATTTACAACAATAGTTATAGGTATTCTTAATCACAAAATAATAAGAGATGAAAATTCTTCAGTTATTAACACTGCTGCTTTTTGTTTCATAAATGATGATACCATAGTCTAAATAATATTTGCATTCTCTGGCTGTGAAAATTAACAATATGTGAAAACACCTTTCGTATTGGAAAAGATACCAGATTTAATTTACTTTCTAAAGCATGAGTCATAGAATATTCTTATATTTGAATGTTGTGTTTGGCTTTTAAAAATGGTTACATATAAACGGTGATTCTTTATATGACTTTGCCAAAGGTAAAACTCCAACTGAATAATGTCACTTTAGTAGAAAAATACTGTTGTTCACTTCTTATCATGAATTACAATAAGGCATGTATATTAGTAAAGAAGGAGAGGAGGACAGGCAAAGAAAGAGCAGCAGAGGAGACAGATTATACCCAGGCTGTATATATTATCACTCTGAAGTCAGTAGGGAAGGCTGCTAAATGCTCTTACAACTGTAATAGCCTATCTCATGTTAATTCTAGCCCGAAGCTTCCTGGCACTTCTTGTTCAGAGATAATGGGGACAAACCTACTCTTTTTTTTTTTTTCTTGGTTGAACAGCAGATTTCTTTTTTCCCAAGGATGTCAAATAAATTAAGCAGTCTTTGCAAACAGCAACACAAAAGCCCTTTGCTTTGTAGAAATTCCCAGTAATAACATGCAAGAGTTATTACCCTTGATACTTAGTGTATTTTTTAATGGCTGGCAATAATCATTTTGATTGAATATTGGCTTATAATAGGCTTGTAAAGGAATTTAAGCACCCTTAACTGCTTTCAACTTTAGCTTCATGTGCCTAGGGAAAATCCCTGAAACAATAGATCTTGAAGTCATTAACATGGAAATATTTTATAAAAATGAAAGTCATTATCTATTGACCTCAAAAGTAAAGCAATTAAAATGGACTATTTATATTTTTTTTAATAATTCAATATATTATTGATCCTCTTCTTTGAAAGAAGAAATTATTTTATAACAAGTTATAATTTAGTTCCTTTGGACATTCAACTTTCTTTTATGCAGATCTTTCATAATTTTCATAATTCTTGGCATACAAATCAACTGGGATTTTATGTACTGAATCCTTAATCTAAATATTCCAGAATTCTTCAACCAGTTGGGAAAAAAATGTTGAGATGCTTATTAAAAGAAACCAACATTGTTTGAAATATTGGAAAGCAAGGCTACTTTAGAATTATTTTGTTTGATATTTATGTCTCCTTAGTGAGGATGCTTGTAGGCTATACTCTGTTTTACTAGACTTTGTGAGTAAAAAAGAAATACTCCAGAGGCTAATCTACTGAAAAATATGTGAAGTGATTCCACTCTGAGGCAATAGAATCCACTAAAACTCAGCTTCCATAACGTGAATGGACTGCAAGAGAAGCGGGTTTGAGGCTAGATTGGACTCTGAAGAATTATGAAAAATGATTTCTTACTTGTTGTTTTATCACTTCCTATCTCTCAGGGCAGGATAGTATTGGTAATTGAAAAATTCACTAGTTGAGACCCTGGAGTCTTACTGCCCAAAGGAGACCATAGCATAAAGCTATGGGAAAGATGGTTATAAATTGAAGGTCTGCATCTGCTACTCTTTTGCTGCTTTGATGCACTTGCTGGAGAAAAAATGACAAACTCCCTTAGATTGCCAAGGAATTTCCATTATTATCATTTTTTAAGCCACTGAATGAAGTAATTCTGGACAGCTCTTGATATTTTACTATGTACATTTTAATGCTTCTTTATTTTCAGTGGTTGATTTCAATTTTATTGTATATGCGAAGCTCTTACTATGTCTTTATTATATAGAAAGAGTTTATTGCCTTCTTGCATATACACAATTTCATCAGTACATAAGCTTTATTAGGGCAGGAAACAATATAATAGGCCTTTATTTAATAGTTACTGAATTAATAAGGAGAAGCTCACATCTTCTTGCCCATTTAAACAGACCATATGATTGAAACAATGCTGAAAAAAGTATTAAACACCCATTGATTATAATTTTCAAATATACTTCTTGATTTTTATGTACAAAATGAACAGAAATGACCCACAATCTATAGAATGTGTATGTTGAATGACAGGAACATTCAATATATTGTACTGAATATGTTGGTTGTTTCAATATACCCAGCCCGATATGGGTTATGCCACTTTCTTTACTTATCACAAGGGCACATTTGTAAGATTGACTTCTGAGACCAACGGCAAGGTCTGCCACCTTAAAATATAACCAGTGGAGTAGGGAAACTGCTCATGATATAAATCAAGCGTATGGCTTTAAGCTAATTAGTATCATATTCCAAATAGGCATTTAAACATAACAGTAAATTTCAGATTATTCACAACATTCATATTAATGAGTGATCATCTGTCAACGTTCTCTTCCTCACCAGGATTGCTTCCCCCATCCCTCCTCAGTGGCTTTTCCCTGACACTCTATAACTATCTTGGGATTACAAGCCTCTCTTCTCCTCACTACACACCCCCTACAATGATGTCTCAGGCCAGACTCTTTGCTGACACCTGCACTAATAGCAGGGTAGATTATGTACTGTTCTTAATTATCTCTCCCACAGCTTGCCTCCATTAGCTTGGATAATTGACTGTATGTATAACATTCATAAGCAGAACAATGTGCTATAGAAAAAAAATAAAGGAGAGAAAAAAATGAATCTTTAGTTTATATAAGATTAGCTGTGTATGGTGTCAGACATTGTACAGCATCTGGAGTTTTGGGGGGAGCATCTGTTTTCTTTTGTTGGGGAAGTCATTAAGAATTTTAAATGAGATTTTTCAATGGATAGGAGGAAGTGCTGTGTACATGTTTTCACTGGAAAGGGATTCAAGAAAGAGAGTGTCTGTAATCCCAGCACTTTGGTAGGCCAAGCTGGGTGGATCACCTGAGGTCAGGAGTTCAAGATCAGCCTGGCCAACATAGTGAAACCCCATCTCTACTAAAAATACAAAAATTAGCCAGGCATGGTGGCAGACACCTGTAATCCCAGCTACTTGGGAGGCTGAGGCAGGAGAATCGCTTGAACCTGGGAGGCGAAGGTTGCAGTGAGCCTAGACGGTGCCACTGCACTCCAGCCTGGGCAACAGAGCAAGACTCCATCTCAAAAAAAAAAAAAAGAAAAGAAAAAGAAAAGAAAAGAAAGAAAGAAAGAGAACGTGAATGATGAGGGAAAATTATCTTCTCATGAGTGAGAGTACTCAGGAAGCAAATAATGATGAAAACTGATGAAAATCAAAAAGATTGGCCACAAGTTCCAGAGCTGTTTGGAGGTCTAGAGAAGGTAAGGGCATGAATTCAGGGGAAATGGATTATCAACCGAAAAATTATGAAAGATGAACAAGTATCTTTTCTGTATTCTTTGACTCAGTCCTATAGATTGCTCCTGTAATTGCTATCTCTACAAGACAGGAATAACAGATTTCTCTACTGCATAACTAACAAAACTAAGTGTTGAATAGATTTAACAATTTCCCTTAGTTGACAAATGATGAGACTGAATTTCAAACCCAGGGAACATCATGGTTGAGGATGAACTGCAATCCAGAATTATATTTGTACCATTTGGACTATTTCAAAAATCACAGATGAAAGTTGTATTGCTTTAAAAGTAGAAAAATAACAACAACAAATACATATATGTGAAATTATTACAAGTCTTAAGTATGTAAATATTGAATACTATATAACATATCAGGATAATTAGAATGAAAATAAACTTCTGATTTAGTTGTCAGAGCACTTCTTTAAAAGCCAAGCAATCTCAGGATTAATTAGGTATAAACAGGATTAGGGAATTATTCAGCTATAAAGTTATGATACATTTTCCCTTTCTTTGCATTAAATAATGGTGCAAATTCCTTTAATTTTGCATATTTTCAAATTAATTTTCACAATCGAATAAAGGCTATTTCTATACGTATCTATCTGAGCACTAAGACTGCCTGGAATATTATTATTGAGGTTCTAGGAATAAAAGGCAGAATTTTGCTCTCTCATACCTATCATTCCTCTGATGGGTTGACCTCATAAAAATGAATATGCAAAAAGGAAACTGTACTTTGAAGTGATTTATTAATTGAGCTTGTGTGAGACATAGTTGTTTAAAGCTGTTTTAAAAAATTCAGATTTCATCTTGCTTTGTTCAATTTTCATGCTGGTAGAAATGTTTAAAGCTGAAAGGTTTTCATTTGTGTTTCTGCTGACTTGCACATTTCACACAATAGGCCTTGTTATCAAGGGTCTGATCGTGGTCAATGCAATTTGCAGTGTTAGCTAATTTTCTAAACTAGTAGTGAATTTAAAATTAATTACAGACCAGTTTTGGTTCATTAGTGTCCATGTTTTATGCCTGTTTGTTTGTTTTTAATTGAGTACAGGGGACAAAGACAAAAGTGCTGCTTTCTCTCATATGCAGAAATAAAGTGGTACAATCTTTAACTGAAACAATGAACATAGTAGCAGCAAAGACAATAGAGTCATATGATTTGGCAATGGGAGAACCCATGCATCTATCCTATTTGCTACTTGTACGTCTTAAAGCATGGAGTAAAGTGGGAGATAGTAAAATAATCAAGTGAAAAAAAAAGAGAATAAGTTTTGCAATTTCATGCATATTTACTAAAGGGGGTCAAAGTTCTAAGCATTCCATATAATCAAATAATTTATTAGGTTTGTGAGGTTAACTGCTTACAGCTAAGCAACTTGTAGCTTAATTGCTTCTCATACTACAGGAGAGTTAGAAATATCTTTCTGGCCCCTATCCCCAAAGCGGGAAACCCAGCCTGAGGCACTGAAAGTGCTATACAGGAAACAGTAGGTAGCATAATTCAGCCATGTCAAATTAATGTTGCTATCCTGGGAAAATAGATAGCATAATGAAGGAAGAATAAGGACATTTAGGAGAGAGTCCTTCAGTAGGACATCCCTATTGGTTTCTATTTATGTGCAGAAAATAAGGATTTGTCTCCCATTAAAAATAATATTCTGGAAATTAATTCTGAAAGACTAGATATACATTTTAGATTTACCCATTCCTACTTTGTCTTCATTATCTGGTTACTTTTCTCTATTGTAGCTAAGTTTCCAAAAGGAGACAGGGAAGGAACATTATACATAACTTGAGCAAGGAAAAGTTGAGTTGAATATATTTCTCTGTGTGGAGTTCAACTTATAAATCTCCTTGTAAGCCAAATCTGTGACTGCTCTTTGCTCCTGTGGTTTGAAGCCACCCTCACTCCTGTAAGATGATAGATTATCAGCAGAGAAAAACAGCAGGCTTGTGTTCACAATGATAGATAATGGGTGGAATTAAAGTGTGTTCCTGAACTTGGTTGAACAACCAGCCTCATCACTTGAGACATTTAAAAATACCCTGTATAAAGAAAAAGAAAATGCCCTTCAGGGTAAATCATTTCCTCTGTGCATAGATAATCTGTCTTTTCAAGATTGTTCTTTGTATGAAAAGTGGAACTAATGGTATTTCAACAGAAGTATAAGAAATCTCTTTAAACTCACAAAAGAATAGCTAACAACTATGAAGTGAGTGACAGTGGAGAAATGACAGTCTGTCCTCTAACACTGGGCATGCAGTGACAGGCCTAGGAAAGGCTCAGTTTTACCCATTGCTTGTCACTTAACTGAACATCTAGTGGTGTGCTCTATACTAATTTTTAGCACCATTTTTACAGCTCATAGAAAAATAATAGAAACTAGAGGTCATGCCGATAATTACAAAATGATCTATTAATAAAATGGCAAATAGAGGGAATTTTATTTTTCTATAACTGATCATATTTTTCCATAGTGTGATGACGTGTCAGAATTACCTCCTTGATGTAACAAAATACACAGTCTTGATAAGTGAGAGTTCCTAAGTCACCACTGCAAAAATACTCAAAGTAACAGTTTTCAAACTATTTCATATGATCAGTACAACTAGAAAATTATATTTATTCAAGTATTAAAGTATTAGTTCTATTTCAAAAACAGTCTTAGACACAAGTGCAGTGATCAAATAGGCAGAAAGCCATCTTATCCTATTATTTGTTTTAATCAGCAATAGCAAATGAGATATGACCTGTTCCAGATATTTGGATTTCTTAATGTGTTGTAGTAAATAGATTGTTGTTCATATTATAATAGATCGGATTCATTGAGCAGGGAGGGGAGACTGCATTATAATTCACATGTTGCCAGAGGGGTTACCACAGAATATTTCCCCAGGTTCTTAAATTCCTTGAGCCAGAGAGTTTATTGTGTTTTAAAAGATTTATTTATTATTAGTGAGAAAACTTCTCAGGGGGTTTGATGTTTTATTTTCCTTCCTGAGAAAAGCTCTAGGGCATTTTATATTACCTGTTCAAATACATGGAGTACCTATGGCTAAGAGGAGCTTAGTTCTATAATCCAAGGAACCATCAAATGCTGCAAACGTATGTCATCAAATTTGTATAAATTTTAGAATATTGTATATAAACACATTCTCAAAAAACTTTGTAGTGTTTCTGAGAAAGAAAGTTTGTATTAGAAAAACTTGTTGTAGCATCTTTTCCTGATTCCAAAACTTGCTTTTACTTCCCATTCTCACTTTCCACAGTTCTTTGCCAGGGAGATAAGGAAAATTTACCCAGGGCAAGGATCACCTTGCTGTTCCACACCCCTTCCTAACATTCATCTCTGGGATGGCCCTGACTCCCTTCCAGGTTAACGACTGAAAGAGGAGAGATGTAAGAAACAGGAAGGAGCTTATTGACAGGCACAGGTATAAAATCCAGTGGATGGTGCTCTCTAGATGTGGTTGTTTGCTAATACCAACACGCCCTGCTAGATGCCTTCCTGGGTTCCTCAGGTACATGCACAGCTGGGAACTTCTGATTGAGTTGCCTTTGAGGTGCGCAATACTGTTCTCACGTAGTCCATTTCACTCCACATATGACCCCTCCTTCAGGCCCCTACCATGAGCATCCAAAGGCCCATCACTCTATTGGGGTCATATAAACCTACTAGGCAGTCTCCTGTAGTAGCACTTAAAAGGGCTTCAGGCTGCACATGATACTTATGTTACTCTCCAGCCAGAGAGCATCACATACCTTTCTTCTGCCTTTAATGAGATTTGTTTCCATTGTAGCCTCTTACCTCTGCCATTCAGTCTATTCCCTGTGGACTTTTTAAGGTACACATCTGGCATCAGCTTCTGTACCTAACAAACTTCGAGGGCCAAGTCCTATCACTTGACTTACATCAAGAGGGAAGAACCACCTCTTTTTCTTTCCCAGTGCATGGGGGTGTGTTTGTGTGTGGGTGTGTCTGTGTATATCCAGCAATGGAGGGAGGGTGGATGGTAAAGCACTCCAGAAAATTTATCTACACCCTCAGCTTGGAAGAGGGTGACAGGCTGAGAGTTGCAAATCCAGTCTTGCCACTCTCTTAGTAAGTCTGCATACATAGTGCATCACCTCATATTGGAATGTGGCCACATATAGCATGACAGGAGGCACCTCTTCACAAAGCAGCAGGAGAGAGAATGAGTGCCAGCAGGGGAAATGCCAGATGCTTATAAAACCATCAGATCTTGTGAGAACTCACTATCACTAGAACAGCATGGGGGAAACCACCCCCATGATTCAATTACCTCCACCTGGTCCCACCCTGGACACATGGGGATTATAACAACTCAAGGTGAGATGTGGGTGGGGACACAAAGCCAAACCATATAATTCCATCCCTCACCCCTCCCACATCTCATGTCCTCCCATTTCAGAAGACAATCATGCCCTTCCAACAGTCCCACAAAGTCTTAACTCATTCCAGCATTAACCCAAAAGTCCAAGTCCAAAGTCTCATCTGAGACAAGACATGTCCTTTCCACCTATGAGCCAGTGAAATCGAAACCAAGTTAGTTACTTCCTAGATACAATGGAGGTGCAGACATTGGGTAAATACAGCTGCTGCAAATGGGAGAAATTGGCCAAAACAAAGGGGCAGTCATTAAACCTTAAAGTTCCAATATGATCTCCTTTGACTCCATGTCTTACATCCAGGGCACGTTGATGCAAGAGTTGGACTCTCATAGCCTTGCATAGTTACACCCCTGTGGCTTTGCAGGGTAAGGCCCCTCCTCCTAGCTGCTTTCCCAGGTTGGCATTGAGTGTCTGTGCTTTTCCAGATGCACAGTGCAAGCTGTCAGTGAATCTACCATTCTGGAGTCTGGAGGACGGTGGCCCTCTTTCACAACTCCACCAGGCCCTGCCCCAGTGGGGACTCTGCATGTGGGCTCCAGCCCCACATTTCCCTTATGCACTGCCCTAGCAGAGGTTTTCCATGAGGGCTCTGTCCCTTCAGCAGACTTCTGTCTGTATATCCAGGTGTTTCCATACATCCTCTGATATCTAGGCAGAGGTTCCCAAACCTCAATTATTGACTTCTCTGTACCTGCAGGTCAAATACTACATGCAAGCCACCAAGGCTTTGGGCTTACACCCTCTGAAGCAATGGCCTGAGCTATACCCTGGCCCCTTTTAGCCAATGCTGGGAGGCAGGACACCAAGTCCTGAGGCTGCACAGAGCAGCAGGGAGGCCCTGGAGTCAGCCCATAAAATCATTTTTCTCTCTTTGGCCTCCAGGCCTGTGACGGGAAGTGCTGCTGTGGTTTCTGACATGCCCCGGAGACATTTTCCCCATTGTCTTGGTAATTAACCTTGGGCTCCTTGTTACATATGCTAATTTCTGCAGCAGGCTTGAATTTCTCCCAAGAAAATCTTTATTTCTTTTCTATCGCATCATCAGACTGCAAATTTTCCAAACTTTTATGCTCTGCTTCCTCTTGAACGCTTTGTTGTTTAGAAATTTCTTCTGCCAGTTACCCTAAATCATCTCTCTTAAGTTCAAAGTTCCAGAGATCTCTAGGGTGGGGCAAAATGCTGCCAGCCTCTTTGCTAAAGCATAACAAGAGTGACTTTTACTCCAGTTCCTAACAAGTTCCTCATCTCCGTTTGAGACCCCCTCAGTCTAGACTTCATTGTACATGTCACTATTAGCATTTTGGGCAAAGCCATTCAACGAGTCTCTACGAAGTTCCAAACTTTCCCACATTTTCCTTTCTTCTTCTGAGCCCTCAAAATTGTTTCAACCTCTGCCTGTTACCCAGTTCCAAAGTCATTTCCATGTTTTGAGGTATCCTTATAGCCGCACCCAACTTCTGGTACCAATTTACTGTACTAGCCCATTCTCATACTGCTCTGAAGAAATATCCAAGACTGGGTAATTTATAGAGAAAAGAGATTTAATTGGCTCACAGTTCCACATGGCTGAGGAGGCCTCAGGAAACTTACAATCATGGTAGAAGCCACCTCTTACTGGGGCAGCAGGAGAGAGAATTTGTGCCAGCAGGGGAAATGTCAGATGCTTATAAAACCAAATCTTGTGAGAACTCATTATCATGAGAACAGCATGGGTGAAACCACCCCCATGATTCAATTATCTCCACCTGATCCCACACTTGACACATGGGGATTATTACAATTCAAGGTGAGATTTGGGTGGGGATACATAGCCAAACCATATCACTAGGTTATTCATTATAGACAGGGAATAAATGAGAGGAGACATTAAGAAAGAGTTCTACGTTTCTGTCTTAAGTAACAAACAAAAAGTGGTGCCATTAATTGAGATATGAAATATAGGAGGAGGAACAAGCTTGTGTGAAAGATGATAGTCAAGGATCCTTTTCATTGTGTAACAAAGACAGATATGTGTTTATATACATATATGTGTGTAATCTACACTCACATTAACTGTATACGATATAGATTTTTCTCAACTAATTCTTTCTGTCACTTCTATAGAGATCCAAAGTTGAAAGACTTTCACAAAGAAGCACAGGAATTGGAGTCTTATCTTCATTGCAAACTGCAGGTAAGATTCTGGTGCTTAGAACAGAAAAACAAATAGTAAGCACTGACTACATTTCAATAGAAATGACTGGAGCCTTCTAAATTGTTGCATAAAGACTTTTAGCTATGGATTATAGGCACATAGCTCAAATACTAGCTTAATACATTGTTTTGCTTCAGATTGGGAGGGCAACTCAACTGAAGCTCGACAGAGTCAGTATTTTTAAATGAACACACTTTACCATTGCAATGGCTATTTCCATTCAGCTAATTTTAAGTAAAGGTAGTATAGGAATTTGACTTATTAACCTGGAATCAACAGTCTTTAGTCTGTAAATCTTTTCTTGTGAATTAACAATTAAGTGATTTAGTTGAACCATGGCTAAAAAATCTCAGGGCATTCTGAAGACAAGCGGATTGGCCCCTTTTTTCATACTTCCATCACCTGACTAATATTGCATATGGTTTTTGACTTACAGTGGTTTGATTTAAAATTTTTTACTTTACGATGGTGTGAAAGCAATATGCATTCATTAGAACCACACTCTGAGTACCCATACAACCATTCTGTTTTTTTACTTTAAATATAGTATTTCATAAATTATATAAGATATTCAACACTATTATAAAATAGATTTTGTATTGGGTAATTTTGTCCACCTCCACGTTAATGTAAGTGTTCTGAGCATGTTTAAGTTAGGCAAGGCTAAGCTATGATGCTGAGTAGTTTAGGTATATAAAATCCAATTATGATGTTTTATATTTTCAGTTTATGATTGGTTTATTGGGACGTAAACTCCTCATAAGTTGAGGAGCATCAGTATATAGAGAAGTTCTCAGAGGCAAAAACAAAAAGAGCAGTTTGTTGATTATAGAGCTCACTGTACTTAGATTAGGAATGAGCTCAGTTAAAAAATAATATTTATTCCTGAATTACCCAACATGTCAGTGCCTGATTGCAGAAATGACCTTAATTCTTTATAGCTACTCCATTCAAGTGGTGAAGTTTATTCTTCCATTCCTCTAATCTGGTTGGCTTTGTAATTTGCTTTGGTCAACAGAATTTGGCAGAAGTGATGTACTGGTTCTGAGCTCAGCCATCAGGATATTGTGTGTGTTTTCTCTCCTTTCACTATTGACTAGCATTTGAATAAGCCTAAACTAATTTCTATATGATGAGAGAATGGTTTAGTTATTCTTGCTGCCCCCAGGAGATGTCAGTGGTCCAATATTCAGACATGAGTGCTACACTATCCCAGCTAGTCAGAACTAGCCATCACACTGGCTGACTGCAGATACATGCATGAACCTAGCTAAGATCAGTAAAGGCCAGCCTAGATCAGCAGAATCATTCAGCCAACTTGTGTAGACTCATGAGCAATAGTAAACAGTTGTTTTAAGCCACTAAATTTGGGCATGGTTTGTAACACAGCAAAAGCTAACTGATATAGGAATTATTCTTACCACATTATTGCTTTGCTTAATTTGCCCCAGTCTGCTGCTTTTGGAGGCATTTAGACTAGGTCTTATTGCATGTGTATACAAATGACAGCTATATGAGCCAGTTATCAGAATAGGTACAAAGTGGCAGTTCTCATGTAAATAAAACATTCTTATTTTGACCACAACTCTAGCTTTTTAAATTTGTGTTTTATTTATAATTTATTATAAATTCAGCAGATATAAATGATTGGGGTGCTATTTTCTAACTTTAGAAACTTAGAAATATAATTTGACTATTAACAAATATTAATGGTATCAATATTCTTAAAACATGAAATAAGATAATTTGTTTCATTGTTTGCCTTATATTTTAGAATTTATTTCAAAAACTGGGGAAAATTAAGGAATTTTTGCCCATATTATTTATTACAGCTATGTGATAATACATTTCATCCTAAAATTGTATTCTGACCAATATTTAAGAAAAAAATGTACATTGAAAGACATTTTTAAAAGAATAGATGAAGAGATAGAGAGTAATAGGGCCACTATTTACACTCGTGTTATTCTGTTCCTTATTAGTAGTTTAGATTTAGCTAATTTCTATTGGGATCAGCAAAGAGCACACTGTGACTAATTATCTAATCTATACCTCCAGGGTTTTAGTTATGGTCTCTTGTTCAATTAAAAATACTCACATGCAATTCAAGATTTTTTTGTAGCTTTTCAAAAAAGTATTTGGTACATTGACTAATAAGCACCGTTAGTTATATCAATTGATACGAGTCTTATTTGGAACACTTCCAAAAAGCAATTGCCAGTATTAAAACAGATATTATCTTTCGGCGGAAAGCATTCCTTTTTATTTATGACAAAACTGTGGATCAAATTCAACTGAATTCATTCTGACATTATTAACACTTAGTAAAATTATTTTGGAAATAATAATAAAGCAATAAAGATTTTATGATTAATTAGCATGAGCATATATTTGGTCATCTTTCACAGTTTCAAGCCTAAAATGAGCTAACATAAGCATATTATAATTTATTCCATGGCAGACACTATTATAAGTGTTATTAATATTAGCTGATTTAATTCTCATCAACAACCTTACAGTTACTATTATTATGTTCATGTTACAGATGCAAAAGTTAAGACAAGAGAGAGAAAAATTAAAGCAAAGAGAGATAAAGAAACTTGACCAAGGTTACATGGCTGACAAATAGCAGAACATGGACTTTAACTCAGGAAGTCAGAGTCTATCAACCATATTTTTAATGACTATTCCTCAAGCATGTTTGCTTCCTGAGTTCATCACATTGTGGGTGTCATTAAATATTTGGTCTCCCATTCCAGAAATGAGACAACATTTCTTTTTAAAACTATGAGATAATATTTTATTTGTGGGCTGCTTTTACTCTTTCAGCTTTTTAATGATAGTGTTCTCACAATACTCAGAATTGATTTTATTATCTTTATAGACATAAAAGGAATGCTGGATATTAGATGAAGCCTGGAAATATGTTTCAAACGTTTGAATATTTAGTCTAACCCATGTTAGGTACAGAAAAGTTCTTGTGTACTTGAGTAAATAGCATTATCTATTTACTGTAGTATATAATGTATATGCATATGTATACACATATATTTATTTAAAACAAAATCTAACAGCACTAAAACATCCAAATACTCAAATATTCGATTGCCTAAAACTGAAAGTGAAGCAACAGATGGAGGGGAGGATATGGAGAGTCGCCAGGTGTGCTTACTAATTATCATGTACTACTCTAGTCACCAGCACTGTATATAAATTGTCAGTTGTGTATTATATTTATCACTAATGGCATCCTTTATCTGCAGGCTATTTTCAGAAGCTAAGTACTCTGCCCAAACTATTAACCACTTCATTTAGCCCAAAGTGGAAAGGGGGCTTTTATGAGTACAAATATATAGAGGTAGCAGTCAAATTCATAATTTGGTAATGCATCATGAATCCTTAACTTTCCCATTTAAATATTCTACTTTGAGGGCAAATATAGGTTCTCTTTCAAAAGTATGACCATAAAATATTATCTCCAGGAAATAAAAAATTATTCTAATGTGGAATAGCACCAAGGTATTACTTCTCAGTCAACTTTTAGCTATATTTTTCCTTAGGGCAATATTTAATGTTGTCATTATAAAATACTTTGACAGAACATAATTTATGTAAACCTAAATGCTGCAAGGGATTTTTTGAAAAGATATACTCAACTTTATTGTGGAAAAATCAAACTGGCTTTTTTAAACATAGGAATTATGTATAATAGAAGGAAATATGACTAATATCTAGAAAAAACAATACATTTTTGGTTGAAACAACATGATTCCTGCCGTATTATATTCAGAACACATCCAAACTTCGTATGTTAAAGTGGAAAATGTAGCCAGACGATGGCTAGAAATACAAATGTAGAATCATTTAGAAACTAAATATTTTTTAAGAGATTGATATTAAATAGCAAAAGAAGTAGTGCTTGGAACAGTGGGTATTCTGGAAACAAGTGTTCGAAGACTCAACTTGGTAAAAGTAAGAGCAATAAAGATCCTGTTTGGGTGGTACAATAACAGTGGTGGAGGGATGTCTGTTCTGCCACTTGTGGCAGGAACAGCCTCAGAGTTCTTACCTCTTTTCCTGTGAGTTATCTCCTGACTTGCACCTTTGAGATCAGAATTAGGAGGAAAGAATGAGAAGTTTGCTTACCTTTAGGGACATTATACATCCCAAACACTCAGAGAGAAGTTAAGCAGATTGTCAGTGTTTCAGAATTTCTTTTTTTTCTGGTAGTATTTGTAGGTTACACAAGGATCAGCTGTGGCTTATATGAAGTCGGTTGGGTTTATTCTGATGGTTTACGAGCTTATACTCTGCCAGAGCAGTCAATAACAAGTAATATAAACTTGCTACAGCAAGCTGGAGAGAAAACAAAAAGCAAAGTTGTTATTGTCTACATTTCAAGAGAAAACCTGAAGAAAGATTTTGAAACGAACAATGAGAAAATGTGAAAGATAAAGAAATCAACATGAGGAGGGAAGCTCACTAAAAGGGAGACACAAATAGCTAGGATTCAAGTAAATGCAAATTAAATCATAAATGATATATTGTCTTTGCCCATCAATATGAAAATATTTTTAAATGGTAAATTAAAATATTAAGAATGGTATAGTACAGGGGTTCTCAATGATTGTTCCAGGAACCTTTGGGGATCCCCAAGAACTTTTCAGGAAGACTATATGGTCAAAGTATTTTCACAATTATATAATGACACTATCTGCCCTCTCACTCTCATCTTTTCCCAAAATGTTTTGTAGAGTTTTCCAGAGGTTACCTAATGTGTGATGGGTCATCACTCCGATAACTAACAGAACGTGAGCTTGTGTGTTTATATTTTTCTAATTTTAATTTCTATAATGGTAAACAAAGACAGTAAAATCTCACATAAACAAAAGCCCCCTGGGGTCTTCAATAAATTTTGAGTATGTAAGAGACCAAAAAGATTGAAGGCTGCTAGTGTAGTTATAATGAACACATGATTTTGTAGAGAGTGTAAACTACTTAATTTGAATCAGGAATCTTAAAAATAATGATTTACTTGGCCAGGCATGGTGGCTCATGCCTGTAATCCCAGTACTTTGGGAGGCCGAGGCAGGCGGCTCACCTGAGGTCAGGAGTTTGAGACTAGCCTCAACATGGAGAAACCCCGTCTATACTAAAAATACAAAATTAGCTGGGCATGGTGGTGCATGCCTGTAATCCCAGCTACTCAGGAGGCTGAGGCAGGAGAATTGCTTGAAGCTGGGAGGCGGAGGTTGCGTTGAGCTGAGATCGTGCCATTGGACTCCATTCTGGGCAACAAGAGTGAAACTCTGTCTCAATAATAATAATAATAATAATAATAATAATAATAATAATAATTTCCTTGACCTAACGTTCACTTATAGCAATCACATCTAACATAATAATCAGAACATAGACTAAATATTATTTATAATAAAGACATCACAATATTAAAATAGTAAAGTACTGAGATTATCAAAAAAAAGGAAATGTTTTAAGAAATGTTACAAGAAATGTTACTAACAGAGAAATCAAACTTTCAGGGATTTAGGAAATGATTTAAACAATTGTTTTAAAATAATTATGCATTAGTAAAATTATTGTAGTTTATTTGCCTATCAAGGAAACAGAATTCTATAGTGGTTAGAAGCATGCCCTTGGTAGGCGGGGTGCCTGGGAGCTTACCATAGCTTAAACAGTTGGCTCTAATGTGACATGTAACACGCAACAATCTCTTTAAAGCTCAGACTCTGTATCTGCTAATTGGGAACTATCATCATAGTGCCTACCAAACAGGGTTGTATTAGATGAGATGCTGCATGTAGCATTTAGCGTGAAGCTTGATATATTGTTCAATAAATGTTAACTATTGTAAATACCCATGTAAAATATTGGAAACTAAACTAAAAAAATTTATTCATTTGGTAAATGTTTATTAAATACCACCAATGTTCCGTGCCCTGTTCTAGGCACTTGGCTCAGGTCTTTGAACGAAAGAAACAAACTGCTATGTTGGAACACACATTAAATACAATTTTCTTTGAATGATGGAGTTGTAAGTAATTTTCTTTTTCCTATTGACATTAGCATATTTTCCAAATTTTCTTCAATGAACAGTATTAATTTTAGCAGAAACTAGAAACATATATCCAACATAGAAGAGGTGAGTAGCTTCTGTTCCTGATCCATTTTTCCATTTTTAAGTTCAAAAACCTAAATCTGTAAAAAAATTATGTGGTTTATTTTCTGAAAAAGAAAAAAAAAATATATATATATAGAGAGAGTAAGGAATTATGATTGCCAATACTACAGTCTCTAGTCCTTTCAAAATGTTAAAACCAGTGGAATTAAAATAATTATATCAGACAAATCCAATTCAGTGATAGATGTATTCTATGTTAAATAAAAATCACATGGCTAATTAAATAAGAACATGGTATTTTAAGCTTTCTGGAAAACAGTTTTCAATATTCATGAGATATGAGAAAAGTTTATACCCTCTGACAAAGTAATTCAACTTCTAGGAATTTATAACAAGTAAATTATCAGAAAAGTTTGAAAACATTTGGTAAAAAGATATTTATCAAAACACTGATGTCTAAATGGAACCAAAACACATGCACCCACAAAACAGCAGTAGGTAAAGAAACAACAGAAATATCAAACAAAGAGGGAAAAGTTAAATTAATTATGGGACAGCCATAAAACAATCTAATATAGCCACTAAAATAAACTTTGATGATGCTGAGGAACATTTCTAAAGATAGGTAAATGTTCATGATATAATATTAAATAGAAACTCAGATTGCAGTATGGTATAAAATGGGATCTCTATTATACAGAGACATAGAGATAGATATGCATACTCATTAACTGTCCCAGCCCCATATGCTTGGAAAGAAAACCTGAAAGAAAATGCTCTCAAATATAACAACAACTTTATTTTCAAATGTTTTAATGTAAGCATATATTATTTTTATAATCTGTGGGCATAAGAATGAAACTACCTTTAATACATCATTTATCCTGAAGACTATGTAGTTCTCTGATTTTTATGTTAGAACTATGCAATAGATCTTTTTGAAAGAAAAACAACATCAGGGTTGCAGTTCCCATGACAAGACTGTTATCTACAATCCGTCTTTCATTCTAGACATCCATAGCCAACATGCCACTAAGTCCTGTCATAACCTTCTTCATATTTTCAAGTAGCTCCCAGTTTTGTTCTCTCCCCACCCTATATTCTCCTGGTTAGCATGGATCTAAATCCTCAGCCTTTTTCATCTGGCGTATTGCATCTAACTACTCTCCCTATCATATTCTCACCCTCTTCCATCCCCAACACCAAGCCCTCCTCCATAGAGTTCTCAGGATGACTTCTAAAACACACCCATCCACTCATGGCTCTGCTTCACTCCCTTGACTAAAACTCTTCAAACATCCTAATTACATCTAGAATAATGTTCCTGCAACAAACAAGGCTCTTCGTAATCTGATCCCTGCCTACTTCCCCAGCTTCATGTCTCTCCTTCCCTACCTGCAGTCTACCAAATTATTTGCTTACCCAATGAAGCCATATCTTTCACTCTTCCATGCCTTTGTCCTGCTTATTACTTCTCCTGGAATGTGTGTCAGCACCAGTTTAGCTTAATTAACAACAGCTTAGTGTCTAAGATTCAGGGAAAACTTCCTTCTCCATAAATGCTTCTGGGACACCTCCTAGGAGTAATGTGGGTGTTCTTTCTCTATGCTTGCAAAACACCACCATCATAACTTAGCATTTTCCCTGTGGCATTATGATTATTTACTTAGCAATCTCTCTTACAGCATGTTTAAGCTTCTTTATCTCTAGAACTGGGAAAAGTATCTGGTGCTTCGAAGGTGCTCATGAAGTATTTTGACTTCATAAATATTTTACATTTTCTCTGCTTTCTTTGTCTTCTGAGCCTCTTCCTCTGGGAGAAGATACTGCTATCAAAATATACCAAGAATATGGGTGCATGGTTAAAACAAGCTAGCTCCCTTTAAATGTGCAGTACCACTGAGGAGGGGAGAAAACGGAGGGACTTCTTAGTGAGTAGGGACTAGAGGCTCCAGAGACACTGGGGTGAAAACTTTAAATACACAAAAATAAACAGACAAGTTTAGACAACTCTAAATAGGGAAATAATATTCACAGGAAATATGATAAAGATTTTATATACTCAATTTTAAAACCACTTAGTACTTAGAAGAATATAGAGCAGCAACCCTTAAAAAACTGGTAAGATGTCACCATAAACACTTTACATTAAAAAAAGAATTAGTAAACGTATGGAAATACATTGACTCTCAATAGTGATAAAAGAAATGCATTTTTAAAAAATCATAATTTTTTGGTAAGATAGCAAAAATCTGAAATAATTAGTATGTTCTTTGTTTATGGGAATGGATTGAAATTTTTAACTAATACATTTTAAATTGATAGAACTCTTTGGCAAAGCAATTTAGTCTTGTGTTTAACATTAAAAAAAATGTTTAGTCTCTTACCCAATAATCTTAGTCTTCAGAAGTTCCTTGCTTGAGAAGGGGTGAAAAAGAGTCTCAATATGTACTTATTAAGTATTCTAACTAAAGATGTTTCTTTTATAGAGTACATGCATTATGCCTTTGTCAAATGACAAGAGAACGTCCTGTTTTCCTTATTTTTTTACAGGCATACCTTGTTTTCTTGTGGTTTGCTTTATTGTGCTTCACAGATCCCATTCTTTGTTTTTTTTAAATTTTTTTAAATAGAAAATAAATGATAAAAATATTTTTTAAAATTTGTAGTCCTGGGTGAAGGGGGGTCTCATTATGTTGCCTGGGCTGGGCTCACAATCCTGTGGTTAAGCAATCTTCCTGCCTCAGACTCCGGAGTAGCTAGAACTACAGGCAAACACCACTGTACCTGGCCAGATACTGTTTTTTACAAACTAAAGGTTTGTGGCAACCCTGCATAGCCAGTCCGTTGACATCTGATATGTTTTGCTCTGCTTCCTCAGTGATGATGTTGAATTGCAATACTCAGTGTTGGGGGAGGGACATGGTGGGATTGGATTTTGGGGGTGGATTTTCCCCTTGCTGTTCTCATGATAGTGAGTGGTTTCTAATGAGATCTGGTTGTTTACAAATGTGTAGCATTCCCCACTTTGCTGTCTCTCCTGCTGACCATGTGAATATGTGGTAGCTTCCTCTTCACCTTCCACCATAATTATAAGGTTCCTGAGGCCTCCCCAGCCATTCCTCTTGTACAGCCGGTGGAACCATGAGCCAACTGAACCTCTTTTATTTATAAATTACCCAGTCTCAGGTAGTTCTTTATAGCCATGTGAGAATGGACTAATATAGCACCATTTTTTTCAACAGCATGTGCTCAATTTGTGTCTCTGTGTCACATTTTGGAAATTCTTGCAATATTTCCAACTTTTTCATGTTGTATCTGTTATGGTGATCTGTGATCAGTGATCTTCAAGGTTACTATTGTAATAGTTTTGAGGCACCACAAACTACACCCATATAAGATGTCTAACTTAATTGATAAATATTGTGTGTTCTGAGTGCTCCACCAACAAGTGGTCCCCTATTTCTCTTCTTCTCCTCAGGTCTCCATATTCTCTGAGACACAACTGTATTGAAATTAGGCTGCTTAATTACCTTACAATGGCCTCTATGTGTTCAAATGAAAGGAAGAGTAGCACCTGTCTCACTTGAAATCAAAAGCTAGAAATGATTAAGCTTAGTGAGGAAGGCATGTTAAAAGTCAAGACAGGCTAAAAGCTAAGCCTCTTGTACTAAGTATTTAGAGAAGTTGTGAATGCAAAAGAAAAGTTCTTGAAGAGAATTAAACATGCTGCTCCAGAGAACACTTGAATGATAAAAATGCAAAACAGCCTATTACTAACATGGAGAAAGTTTTAGTGATCTCGACAGAAGATCAAACGAGCCACACCATTTGCTTAAGACAAGCCTAATCCAGAACAAGGCTCTAACTTTCTTCATGTTCTATGAAGTTCTGTGAAGGCTGAGAGAAGTAAAGAAGTTGCAGGAAGAAAGCTGGGAGCTAGCAGAGGTTGGTTCATGAGGTTTAAGGAAAGAAACCTTCTCTATAACATAATATTGCAAGGTGAAGCAGCAAATGCTAATGTAGAAACTGTGGCACATTATACAGAAGATCTAGCTAAGATCATTGATGAAGGTGGCTACACTAAACTACAGATTATTTGTATTTTGATTTTCTTTAAGACACAGTCTTGCTCTGTAGCCCAGGCTAGAGTACAGTGGCGTGATCATAGCTCACTGCAGCTTCAAACTGCTGAGTTCCAGGGATCCTCCTGCCTCAGCCTCCCGAATAGCTGGGGCTACAGGTACACATTACCACACTGGGCTAATTAAAAAAAAATTGTAGAGATAGGATCTCTTCGTCTTACTTAGGCTGGTCTTGAATTTCTGAGCTCAAGCAATTCTCCCTTTTTGGCATCCCAAAGTTTCTGGCCAGCAACAGGTTTTGAATGTGGATGAAAGAAGCTTAAGATGGAAGAAAATGCCATCTAACACTTTCAGGGCTAGGGAGGAGGTCATTGCCTGGCTGCGAAGCTTCAAGCACACGCTTACTCTTTTGTTGGGGTTAGTAAAGCTGGTGACTTTAAGGTGAAGTCAATGCTCATTTACCATTTTGAGAATCCCGAGGACCTTAAAACTTATCCTAAATCTACTCTGCCTGTGCTCTGTAAATGGAACAACAAAGCCTGGATGGCAGAGCATCTTTCTAGAGCAGGGTTTATTAAATATTTTAAGTCCTTTGTTGAGGCCTACTGCTCAGAAGAAAAGATCTCTTTCAAAATATTACTGCTTACTGACAATATACCTGGTAACCAAAGAACTCTTATGGAGAAGTACAGAGAGAAAAATGTGATTTTTATGCCTGCTAATACAACATCCATTCTTCAGCCCATGGATCAAGAAGCCATTTTGACTTTCGAGTCTTATTATTTAAAAAAGGCTATAGTTGCCATAGATATCGATTCCTCTGATGGATAGAGGCAAAGTAAATTGAAAACTTTCTGGAAAGGATTCACCATTCTATCACAGATGTCATTAAGAACATTCATGATTTATTGGGGGAGTTCAAAATATTAACATTAATAGGAGTTTAGCAGTTGATTGCAAATATTACGAATGACTTTGAGGGGTTGAAGATTTCAGTGGAAAAAGTAACTATAGATGTGGTAGAAATAGCAAGAAAACTAGAATTTGGAGTGAAGCCTGAAGATGGGACTGAATTTCTGCAACTCATGATTAAACTTGAGTAAATGAGGAGTTGCTTTTTATGGATGAGCAAAGAAAGTGGTTTCTTGGGATGGAATCTGCTCCTGGTGAAGATGCTGTGAACATTGTTGAAAGGACAACAAACAATTTAGAATATTACATTAACCTAGTTGATAAAGCAGAGTTTGAAAGGATTGAACTCTAAATTTGAAAGAATTTGTACTGAGGGTGGTTCCATCTAACAGCATTGTGTGCTATGAAGCAATCTTGAAAGAGGCTATCGATGGCAGTGTTGTCTTATTTTAAGAAACTGCCACAGCAATAAAGTTTTCTTTAGAAATAAAGTATTTTAAATTAAGATTACACTTTTTTAGACATAATGCTATTGCATGCTTTCTAAACTAAAGGATAGTGTAAACATAACTTTTATATGCACTGGGAAACCAAAAAAATTTTGTGTAACTTGCTTTATTGTGATATTTGCTTTATTGCAGTGGTCTGTGATCCAACTCACAAAATCTTTCAGATATGCCTGTAATTTAATTTGTCATTATTTCAGATTAGTATTCAAGTGGCTTAATTAGACTTTTCTAATAAATTCAAGATGAAAATAGGTTTTTTTAATGTTTTTAAATTATCTATAAATTTCCATTTGAGGACTATACTATTACAGATTGAATTTCTTTTTTGTAACATTTTAAGAAATCATCATAATTGTATTTCTAAACTAGATTGTGAGCTCATTGCCAGACTATTCCCCTCCAGACAACAAAGTTTCTCTCATTTATCCTTAAACCTTCTGTGCCTAGCCAGCTGTCATGGAGAACACACATAATACATGTTTGTTGACTAACATATGAAGAAACAATTTCTAAATATTAATCTCTTCCATTTGGAAATTTTGCTTCCTATTTTCTTCCTACAATATATCTTTGTATTTTAGAGTGGCTGTTCCTATTTAAATATACTCAGTCCCTAAGGGATTAGTTCTACCTAATTTTATTCAGATGGTTCCAATCTTAAAAACAAACACAATTTTTCAAGTCATCTACCGTTACTAATTTTTGGTAATTTTCCATATTTCCTTTTCTTTATCTTAACTTCTGAGATATTTTAAGGCCTAGTTTTTTTAAGCCAGAGCTTTGTCGACAGAATGAAGATTTGGGAAGGATTTTAGAGTCCCAGTAATTCAAATTTAGAGATGTAATAACTGGGTGTCAAATAATTTGTTCACAATTTACAAACAACTTGTGGCAAAGTCAGAGCTAGTGCCCAGATCTAGACAGCATTGCTGCAGTCTTCTTCCCACTAGAATCCTAAATTTTGAGTTGTTCTCTAATTTCTTTCTTTTAACTGTTCTTTTATTCCAGAACAATATATTGAGGACATATTATTGCTTGGCCCTGTGAGGGTCCCCAGTGTTAAGCAAGAGCAGATGGGAAGGGCAGCATTTATGTGAAGTGACCCACTTGGCAGTGAGGTATATGGAAATGTTCTCTCTCTCATGTGTCATACTTCTCAGATCTTTTCAGATCTGTTGTTTGGTGTCTTAAACAAGCTGATTTAGCATAGTGTTCTACACTGAGTTTCTTCACTATTTTTTAAATTATAGCCTTCCCTTGAGAAACTTGATTAATTCCTGTTGCTGAAATTATCACCTTAGTGCAAATGACATATGGTTTCATTCTGTTTCTAGTCTCCCTGGTTTGGAACATATTTTTGAAACACTAATAGATTTTTTATATTAGAAGCCTCTTAATACTTTGACATTAAACATAGGCATTAAAAAATGTAGCAGTGTTAATTGAGAATGGTAATCAGGATGTCACCACTGGGTCCTATTTCCTGCGAGTTAATGTTACTCAATTATGTCTGCTGTCCTTAGAATGAAACTTTAACAATGAGCTATTGTTTTAATTTCATATTATTTCTACATAAAACTGTGCTCTTTATAGACTCACAGTATTTAAAATTTTCAAAATATAAGAAATACTTAACTGCTACTACAGTTGATGTTAGTGTCTATCAACATTCTCAATGTCTTTATTTTTAAGCTTCATCTTTTTAAAGGGGTATTTTGATTGTTAAAGGCATAGACTTCTTGTAATATTCGCATTTTTATTATTTTATTGTATCTATACTATTTAAAGAATAATGTTTGCTCTTAAGTTTGAGAATTCAATTAAATATTTTTTAAATGTCAACCAAAAAAACACCAAATAGTAATAATAATAGCTGATTGCTATTATTTTTTAAATATGAAATTTAAAAATTAGAACTTAAATATAAGACCCTTCTATAAGAAATTCACTTTATCTTTCCCTACTCTACCTTACTGTTTATATCTCTGAAGTATAAAACTGGTGCCAAGGGTAGAAATATCAGTGCAGTTGAGAGGACTGTTCAAAAGAGACATTGAGTTCATTGTAATGAAAATCATCAAGGTCAATGCTATTTGACTATAGTAGAATATTCTACAACCTGTATCTTTAAAACCAATGATGACAATGGAAATGGTGGGTACAAAATCCACTCCTGGAATTCTGTGAAAGCTGAGTTTGATCCCAGAAAATCATTTGGGCTGATTTTTCTTTTCAATATTTGACCGTGGCTCTTGCCCATGTTTTTCCTCCCTTCCATTTTTGTTTTGTTTTGTTTTTAGAGGGGGACTTGGGCATCTCATGCTCTGCTTCCTCAGTGATCATTTTCTTTCCTCGCATCATTATTCCTCTACTTATTGCCATTTGGAGTTGGTCTCTCTCTTTACTTGCCCCAGTTCAACTCATGCAATGTTTTCTAGCTTTGTGCCTTCAAAGACCTGTCTTTTATTTAGCAAAATTAACCTAGAGAACAAATACTTTGATTCAGGTCCTGGACTGTGTATCAGTTCAGAAACCTTCAGCTACAAGTTACAGAATACACCAATTTTTAGTGGCTCAAACATTAAGGAATCAAGAATGTATTTCACATAATCACGGTTCCTAAATAGAACAAGACATGGTGCAGCATGATCAGATGCCTAGGTATCTGTGTTTGCTCCAACATTCTGTCATGCTCAGTGTCAGCTTCACACTGAGGCTAATTTCCTTTGTGATTGCATAATAAGAGAGAATGATGGTAACATTTTTGGAAAGAAAAACTTTCACAAATATGCTCATCTGACTTCTCATGTCTCACAAATCTAGGCTGGACATTGGACATAGGATTTCCATGATTGATTTAGAAAATTCATTGGGGTATCAACCAATAGCATAAGGACTCCCAAGAATAGACAATGTCTGACTAGTTTGTGACTATATTCTCAATGCTGAGATTTTTCTGGCACATTGCAGGGCTTCACCATATCATCTTGAATAGATATTCAGATCCCCATGACTACTACATATGGTAGGTAACTACAAGACTTGCAGATAGATGATAATGCTCTCAGGAAATCAGCTGAAAGCCATCTGTCAGTTGTCTCTCTGTGCAATCCTTAGCTTTTCATATCCCTATTCAAACATTAAGCCCTGCCTTGATTCCTAGACCAATAAGGTCTTAAGAGTTTAAGCCAGCCTTTATTTTGTATTTAACTCCTTCATCATCATAATGGAAGTAATAATGCCCACCCAAAAAGTGCTTGTGAGGATTAGAAAAAAAATGTGTGCAAAGCAATTGGCACAGCAGACATATAGAATGTAGCATTCTGATAGATGGTAGATTTCCTCTCTGAATTTTTTAGTATTGAACTAAGCAAGATCACTATGTCCCCACAAGCTCAATCTCATATTACCAGTAATATTTGTGGGAAACTTGACTTGAGACCATGGACGACAGAGCTGACACTTGGGCCTCACATAGTTTTGAGCCTTCTGTGATGTTGTTGCTCCAAAGATGTTTTTGGCGCCAGAGCATCTACAGCCAGGTCCTGGATATACTTGTCGTTGACCTCAGCTTCTGATTTTGTTTCCATTTTAATTAATGCTTTCATTGCCTGTCTAATTCCCTAGTTCCTCTGGGACAATAGCCTTGCTTTGCTCCTATCTGCTCTATTATGTGGGAGCTGGACTCTGCCTCAGAACTCAGTTGGTGACTTGGGCTTCATATTCAAGGACTGATTTCCTGAAGGCCATATCTTCTTCTCTACCTGTTCTTTCAAGTGCCATCCAGCTAGATTTCTCATCCTTTTGAGTGTCTATCTTGCTGGTATATCTTATGACTAAAGCGTCAAACCTCAAGCCTAGGTATTGTTTGAAAACCACCATAGTTTGTAACTCTAAGCACTACGGACCCTGCACAACGGTTAATAGGTACCAAACTGAATTGTTGCATTCAGCTTTCCATTGGGGATATTTAATATTTCAGTTTTTGGCTCTGTCTCAGTTTGGGTTGTTATCTAGGCATTCACAGCTGTGTCTTATCTCCAATTTTGCATACTAAACACACCCCACTCTTTCTTTAAATGTGCATTGATGTAAAGTTATAGAAATTACTTCTCAAGGCTTACTTTTTAGAGAAAATATGTAAGACTTCAAGTATGGAAGAAAAAAACATAGAAAGAGACAGAGGGAGAAGAAGGTAGAAGGAAAAAGGGAGAAAGCTTATAGTTATAAACTTGCAGGTTTTTTTTTTTTTTTTCTGTTGTTGTTGATGTTGAGACAGGGTCTCACTCTGTTGCCCAGGCTGGAAAGCAATGGTGGCTATAGCTCAATGAAGCCTCAAACTTCTGGGCTCAAGAGATACTCCCAACTCAGCCTCCCAAGTAGCTGGGGCTACAGGAGCACACCACCACTTTGGGCTATTATTTTGTAGTTTTTGTATAGAAGGGGTCTTGCTTTCTTCCCCAGGTTGGTCTCAAATTCCTGGGCTCATGTGATCCTCCTGCCTTGGCCTCCCAAACTGCTGGGATTACAGGTGTGAGTCACAGCACTTGGTGGTAAGGCTTGTGGTTTTTAGTATTAACAATTATGATTGGTCATCTCCAATATAAGGCAGTTTTTAATTATTTCTATCAATGTCTTTCTTGAATTTTTTTGGAAGTGAAGACAATGCTGAAAAAATAATTCTGCATATCTTAGTTACAAATAGCTGAGCTTTTCTTACTGTGCAGGGAAAGCAGATTTAGGGTTTGTCGTTTGTCTAGTACTAAATAGTTGATAACTAAAGGGCCTCTCATCAGGTATAGTACTAACTACGGGGACTTTCTGCTCAGTACTAAGGACAGAAATATTTGATATATCTTCATGGTATCTGATAATGTATTGATTTGCATTTTATGTATCCCTCTCCATCTACTTTTATTTTTCTTTATTATCTTGTCAGGAATCTGTTTCTGTAGTTTGACTAAAAGTATCTTTTGGATTGCTATGGGTTATAAGAATTATGAGAGAGCTTCAGGAAAATCCCCTACATGTGTCATAAGAGCCTTTCTTATTATGAAAGGTAGACTAAATTGACAAGCTCATGACTCTTGTTCTCAAATAAGATGACTTCTGTTTGTCTTCTAAGATAGTCTATACAGAAACCACACATACTCTGTGAACATAGCTGCATGTATGCGTATATTTAAATTATATATGAATGTACATGAATAATATATATTAATTGGCATGCTTTGATTGCATATACATCCATATGCTATTTCTGTAGTTAGACCTGTTTATATATGAAGCTGCCTTAAATTCTGTTTCTTTCTTTTGTATATATTTGCTTTCTTGCCCAGGCTAGTCTCAACTACTGGGCTCAAGTGATCCTCCTGCCTTGGCCTCCCAAAGTACTAGGATTACGGGTGTGAGCCACAGCACCCAGTGGTAAAGCTTGTGGAAACACACTGAGTAAGAAGCAAATAGTTCCAAATAGTTCCAAAACTATTCCGTGAAACACACTGAATAAAAAGCAGCTGAGGCGAGGCATGGTGGCTCACGCCTGTAATCCCAGCACTTTGGGAGGCCGAGGCGGGCGTATCTTGAGGTCAGAAGATCGAGACCATCCTGGCTAACATGATGAAATCCTGTCTGTACTAAAAACACAAAAAAATTAGCCGAGAGTGGTGGCACACCCCTGTAGTCCCAGTTACTCAGGGGGCTGGGGCAGGAGAATCGCTTGAACCCAGGAGGCGGAGGTTGTCGTGAGCCAAGATCACGCCACTGCACTTCAGCCTGGGCAACACTAAATCTACATCATTTTTAATATAAGTACTCTATGGAGGTCAAGAGTCTTGCTATCTTTGTTCATTAATAAATCCAAAATACCTAAGTAAGTGATTTATGTACTTTGATTGAAGGAAAGAATGTTGTCGGTGCTTTATAAAATGTTTGGAAAAGCTTGTCTATCTGTGTTCTAATAAAAGAAAAAGGAGGTTGTGATTGATATATTTTTACTCTTAGTGAAATGGTAGTAGTGGTTAGAACATCTCTTCCCTCATCCCAGCCATCCAGTCTTCTCACAGGAGCTTAACCTATAGGTCTAGGGGAAAACCCACTGCTGCCAGCCTGTAGTGCACTTGGAACCCACAGGATCTTGGATCTTGAGGCTCTTTAGAGAGTGACTGGCTCTTACTCTCATGGACAAATCTGAAATCTGTGTGGGACATGCCTGTCTCTATGTTTAATAGAAAACAAAGGGAAACTAAAATCTCCTGATTTTTCTATTTAATTATAAATGATTTTTGTTGATTATGATTAAACAATCAAAGTAAAGTCTAACTCAGGGTAGATAGCCCTGATATTGTTAAATTTAGAAGTAAATTCATATATAAAAACAAAAGGTTTGCATTTTTGAATGGGTGATGGAGTATCCAGGTATTTCTTAATAATGGCTATGGATTTCAGAATATTCCAGATCTAATTGTGTGATGGGCAAAAAAAAACAGACAGAAAAGAGTGTCAAAAGTCTAAGTGCAACATTAGAAAAGCAAAGCTAGTAAAAATAGTGCACATATGAGTTCCTGGGACTTCTGGTGCCAATTGAAAAGAAAACAAAGTGGATAAATATGTGATTGGAATAGTCAGCTGCTTTTTATTCAGTGTGTTTTTTTTTAATTTAACGTACAAACTTAGTTCCAGTTACAATACCAGAATCAAATTAAATATAGGTCACTCTTGGTGGTGGGAATTTAACTGGTAAGCTTATGTCTAACTTTTCATTTTCAATACAGGAATTTGGAGTATTTAAATAACCCTTTTCCTTACTCATATATTGCTCAATTACTAACTTTATTAGCAGAGGTCAACCCACTTCTGGTTATACAGATAGAAAATGGTACAGTGCTGCCTGCAAGCTTGCATTCTTGATATGCAGTGACTGCACCCTCTTCCTTTTTTTACGGCTGAGGACATTGCTGGGCATTCTACAAAAAATTCAACTGGAACCGATCCTCAATTGGCTGTCTATATTTGACTTTAGTAACACACCCTGATTCCAAAAAAAAAATGCTGACATGTGGAAGATTAGCATGAAGGTGAGAGGGAGGAAAGAAATCAAGCCAGTAAGCCCTAAACTTGTGTGTGCTGAATATTTCATGGGGAGCTGCATATGGGATTGTGTTTTTTTAAAGTATGTGTAACATCTGGTTCTTTTTTCCACTGAAATCATGTGCAGTGATTTTTTTTCCTACTTAAAAGCAGATTTTCTATTGTTTCATAAATAATTTTGCATTTGTACCAAAGGCATTTCTATTAATTCAATATGGTGCAATAAAAGTATTCTGTGGAATGGATTTGACCATATTGTTTATTGATCTCTTCTCTTATTGGCTTTATGTTCATCTTTTGCCAAATATCATATTAAATTTTTTATATTCCTCTGAACACAGACATTAGATATTAAAGGAACCCCTACTATTTATGTCCTTACCTCCCCTTTCCACACACCTGGGGTTTTGGAAATCAGTAAGTGGGAGGAGAGAAATAGAATTTGAGGCAGCTTCATTCTTGCAAAGCAAGAACATATATACATACACACACACACACACACACACACACACACACACACACACACACATGTTTCTGCTGCTACTCTCCACCTAACAAAGGAACAACATTCTTGTATCTGAGACTCTCTAGGAAATAAAAGACCGGCAGAAGGACTCAGTTCCATCCTTGAGGTTGCATTTTTGTCACTCAAATTGACTTAAAATGGACTTGAAGTCTTTTTGAATATGTGGGAAGAAAAAAATGGATTTAAAGTTCAACTTGTCAGTTTTTAAATTAAAAGATCTATTATTGTTTCAATTTTATGATAACTCTGACTTCTTTTTACACTTTCAGTCTTAACTTCCATTATGATTCAAGATGAGGACCTGAATCAAATGGCTTTGCTCCATGATTAAGCTGAAGACATGTAGAGGTTGCTAGGACTATAGTGTACATGTAGACACCCTTGGGGATGCCAGTCCTATATGTCCACCTGTATGCTAAACTTCTCTTCTGCTCCACTGTTAACTCAAAATTAGCAGGCCTTAAACTGAAATCAACATTATTTCCCACTAAACTAATATTTTCTTCAACCTTCCTTAATTCTAACAATGGCCTCATTACTTCACTGTTTCTGCTGCCACCACACTTCATCTAATCCTCATGACTTTAAGGCTTGAAAAATTCACCTAATTCATACATTCTTTACTGACCACCTAATCCCATTCTACTATGTAATATTTATTGTCAAGAATCATGTATTTAGCGTTACAACTTGTTGTCATGAATTGCTATTTATTTTTGTACTGATGTGTGCTATTGATTAGATTGTTCATCTTGAGTAATAGGATTATGTTTTATATCATTTTGCTACCCCCCATTTTGTACAATCACTTTGCACTATGCCTATTACAGATATCCAGTAAATGTTTGTTGATGATGTTAATGATCCTTTAACTTCATCTGTGGGACTCATGGTCAGCTTTTGATGACTTGTCAGATCTGCCTTCTACGCCAAATGTTGCCTTACTATGAAGCCTAAGTAGTTCCTATGTCCTCTGAATTTTTTTAATACTTTTAACCAGTCTAACCTTTTCTTGACACCACTCTTGCATTATAAATAATCTCTCCCTCTCTCTGTTCTTTTAAGTACTCTGGGCACACAGTGTAGTAGTCTGTTCTCACACTGCTCTAAGGAATACTGAGACTGGGTAATTATAAAGGAAAGAGTTTCAATTGACTTCACAGTTCTGTAGGCTTCACAGGAAGCATGGCTAGGAGGCCTCAGGAAACTTACAATCATGGCAGAGGGAGAAGGGGAAGCAGGCACCTTCTTCACAAGGCGGGAGGAGGAGTGTGCCAGAATGAGGAAGTGCCATACTTGAAAACCATCAGCTGTCATGAGAACTCACTCACTATCATAAGAACAGCATGGGGGAACCGCCCCCATGATCCAATCTCCTCCCACCTAGTCACTCCTCTGACACATGGGGATTACAATTAGAGATGAGATTTGAGTGGGGATACCTAGCCAAACCATATCACATAGTGAGTGCTTATAATAAGTATTTATGATTAACTGGCAGCTACTCCCTTGAAAACATCTAAATCTTTTTCTCGTTCTCCAGTCTGTAGACAAATTGAAGAGTTGTGCTGTGATACAAGTAGGTTATCAATATCTGAAAAGTAACAGGAGTGTATACGAAACCATTGTGTATAGTCCATAATTCCAAGAAAGTATGTCTAGATAAAACTCAAATTAAGGGCTATTTGGAAAGCTCAATGAGAGTTTGCCAACCAGCTGGAGAGGGTGACCTATCTCCACTATGGGTCATTACTTCATGTACTGTGCTCCTATCCTGTACACATCACTCCTAGGTATGTGAAGCTTGATACACATTTTTCAGGCCAACCACTAGCCTGTATATAGAGAAGATAATTCAAAACCAGTAGGAAATACTACCAGATTAACAGTCTCCATCATCACAGACCTAGGCATCTCAATGACTAGACAGACATTTTTGCATGACTTCATTCACTAGTTAGTGCCAAAGAAAGACAACAGAAGGAAAGATCCCATGTAGACAGCTATGCCAAATGGATGTGGCGCCACTGCTGCCCAGGAGTGTCGTCCTGGTAAACAGTCCTACGAAGACAGCCAAAGGGTGGGAGAGCCTAAAATAAATACAGATAATATTTGTGGTTTGACTCCCACACAGTTATGCAGAAGACATTATGGATTGGCTTGCCATTTGTTCTGGTATTTTTAAAATTACTAAGACATAAATAAACATATGATCTAAATGCAGAAATAGGGGTCTCTGTCCACCATGTGCTAGAAAAATATCTCAGGGTCTCAGGACTAAAATAAACAGAATTTCTACCATATGTAGAATTGAAAAACTATTGAATTTTGCCCAATTCAGAATAAGGCAAAGCATGAGTAATTACTTTTTTCTCTCTTTTCATTATAGCTACAGGGCAAGAGTATGAAAGATGAGCAATTATACGATGCTCTTAATTGATACAAGAAGTCAACTCAGTTAACTCATGGAAAACCAGTTTCTATTCTTTCCCCCACACTTCTTTGTAGAAGAAATTTGTATATTGAAGATAATTACTTGAACTCTCATTTTCATTTCTATACTATAAAAAATCAATAGATTTTTAAAAATGTTTGGAGAAGACGCGTAAATAGAAAAAGGAGCAGTAAAGAAACAAATATCTCCATGTAGAAAGACTTTAAAATGTTTGTGTTGGTATTGTTTAAGTTACTGTAAAGAGTATCTTTTCAAAAGAAAAACTAAGAATAAAATGGAATAAACTGGGGGGTGAGCATAGGCGTCAATTAAGTATGGTTTCCTAACAGATTAACAATAAATATATCAATTAGTATTTAGGAGGGTTATTTTGCGCTAAAGGAATAAATGATTTTTTCATTAAAGTTCAAAGAATATATGTAACATCTCTAAAGCAAAATTACATTTCCCTACATAGTTTGTAAGTAATTGGAGTATGTATAGTATCTCCACTGTTATCCCCCTAATCCATCTTCCTAATTTAGTCCTCATGTTTAGATCTCTTCTGCCTTAAAGAAATACCGCTTTTTTTTTCTTTGGTGGTGACTAGTCTGAGCACGTTATCTTTCCTAGGGCCTGAAACAGCACAGAGAATGTTGGCATTAGATTAGATAGATAGATAATGTTATAGATTAGATAATTACCACAAAATAGTATAGTGAGAAAAGTTCAAGTTTTGCACCACACAGATAAGAGTTCAAATACAAACATCACACTGTGGCTTTCAGCATATCATTCCAATTCTCTGAATCCTAATTTTTTAATTTGTACAATGATGATAATAATTTGCAGCTTTGTTGAGATAATTTATAAAGTGTATGGTACATGATAGGCCCAAATAAACAGTAGCTGTTATTATGATATCAGAGTGAAGTATGCTGTAATTATTTGCTTTATGTGTGGCTGTGTGAAATTTTCTCACTATTCCTAATTTCTGTGTTTATACAAACAGGAAAAATATATTAATACCACATGAAATACAAAGCTGTTTGTAGAAATTCAATAGGAATACGGACAAATCAACAGGCGAATAGTCCTATTAATTAATACAATCATAAAAAGAAAAGAAGTTACATGTTAAAAGTAGAAAGAGTAAGAAATTAACTATGAAAGTCATGACTAAGAATTCATCTTAGGGATGGAGTAACCCAGTTTTTATACTATACAGTCTAAAACTTTCAGAAAATCATTTAGATTTTTCCCTTGTATTTCCTACTGGTCTAAGATTCCTTTTTTATTTTTCAACCCCCCAAAAAGTAGATATGAAGATGATGGTTATGTTATCAATGTGTGAGAGAGAACTTTTTAAGAAGTATAGCAAAATTTATGCTACTGAGGAGAGAAGATAAAGCCTTTTAAATTATTCATATTGATAGAAGTTTGACTACGCAAAAACTTTGCCAAAATAAATTTAGAGGCATTAAATCTAAGATTCTTTATTGCAATTTTAGAATTAAAATTCCACAAGAAAAATATCAGAAAATTTAGACTTCCTTTTGGAGATAAAGAAGTTCCTTTTGGTTTGCCATTCCTATTCATCCTTCTGTTTTTTGGTCACTTATATTGTGTTGGTATTACACTATTTTTGTGTTTTGAAAGTATTATTTCACAAATGAACACATTGAAAGTGTCACTTGATAACTATATTATTTCACTATGCATTCAAATAACAGTGAGAAATATTATGACAATATGTGAGGTGTTTCTAGAGTTGCAGAGATAAATTGATCAAAACAAAGAGATCTCTGCATCTGCCCAGCATGAAAACACCTTTTAATTTAAGCTGAACCGATCTTCTAAGCATACCTGAGACAATTTGTTCTACTCAGATCTCAGTCATGCTCTCATACCAATTAAAATGATGAATGACATAAGTTTTACAATTGTGAAAAAATATATATATTGTAAAACAATATATGTCTATGGTATGTTTTTATTACAGTAAAAAAGCCTTTAAAATACTTAGTGCAATACGACATGGCTTTTTTCCATAATTGTTTGGAACTTGTGTTTGTGTTATTCTTCTCTGTTGGCACACTACAGTATTTATATCAACTTGACTTAACCTGTGGGCAATGTATCAGCAGGCGTAGGCTTTCACGCAGTGAGTGCAACCTTTAATGGGGAGTTATTATCAACATTCTTATTAGTAATATTTATATAGTGTAATAAATATGCTTATTTCTAAACTGGTGTCAGCAAAGCAAGTCCTTGCCCTGATGATCTAGCTTTAGGGTGCTGTTATTCCTTAGAAATCACATTTGTATACATGATTTGGACCAAGCCATGCAAATACTTCTCTATTTATCCTTCTGATTTAAGTATCCAGCAGCCAGTTATTTGAGGTGCACACAAAGTAACTTGAATGGAACCCACTACTTCTAAATACCCTAACTCACTAAGAATGAAGCCCAATTCTGATTGTTTATGAATTATCCTGGTTAGCTTACTACATGGAGATGAACTATGTTTTATTGTTCAAGCCAGGACAATGTTGATAGTGCAAGGGGCCCTCATTAACAACCTGGAAGAAAAACCATAAATCAGACTGTCTCATGCAAATCAGGCACCTTTTTTGTCAGCTTTGTTATCTTTGCAGCAACTTTATTAATAAATGCTTCTTCACCTCTCCTACTAGTCATCCATGTGAATTCAAATTAGGAAGCTTCAGCTCCACCATTTACTGGTTGTACAACATTGAGAGCTCAAGTCTTCTAAGATCTCTTCACTCATCTTCAAAATTGACATGATAGACTGGAATTGATGGCTCATGCCTATAATCCCAGCACTTTGGTAGGCCAAGGTGGAAGGATTGCTTGAGGCCAGGAGTTCAAGACCAGCCTGGGCAACATAGTGAGATTTCGTCTCTGCTAAAATAATAATAGCAAAATGAACATAATAATGTGGATGTTGTCGTATGCAAAGGGCTTATCACAGTACCTGAGATACAGTGAGTACTCAACTGATAGTGATTACGATTATGACCATTTCCCTGGAGGATGCCCAAATTGGAGGTATTGATGCTGTCATTGAGCAATGTAGTTTATGAAAGTTGTATACCATGGCACTTGCCTGAAAGATAGGAGGTAAAATCTGGATGGTATTACTTTAGAAAGCACTCATTTCTTTGTGTAACATTAACAAAAGAATAGATGTGTAAAAAATTTTTTATCAAATACAGATATTCCTAGAGAATTCCTATGGCTTTTCCCCACACTTTCAAGACACATGTGTTTTCTAATATCTTAGGAGGCTGGCCCTTAATAACACAGCAAGATAAGGTAAGCACTCACTAAGCATCTTTCCAAAATAATAGTTTATGATGAAAAATATGAATCTAATATTTACAATTCATACAGTGACATGGAAAGTTTATTTAACTGGCCCTAGTTTCTGTCTATAAAATGTGGCTTATTAGAATGCCTCGCATGATTCAATATAACAATGCATGCACTTATCATAGCATCTAGAATATAATAAGTAATCAGCAAATATTAGCTATTCTTTATTATCTGTTCTATGTTTCATCTCACGGGATTACTTCTCTGTTTAACAAAATGATGCTTACTATATTTCAACATTTCTTTAATTGAAGACACATCATTATGCTATATGCCACTAAAGTAAAATAAAAACCACTATTACTAAATAAATTATCTGACACTATAGATTATAGTACACATCACACTTTCAAAAATGTTACATATAAATTTAAAATGTGCATTTTTGAATCAATGAATGTAATAGACAATTATGCCAAACAATCTGTTTCAATGCATTGATGAAATCAAACTAGAACATCTTCTTAAGCATAAGTGAATATATATATATATATATATATATGTGTGCTTATATTAAGTGCATCTGAAGATCTTTTAAAAATGCAGATTAGGAATCTGAAAAATCAATTTCTAAATTAGATTCCGACTTTGGGGTTGACTATGATGTTCTGCTTAAAAATGCAGATTAAGAATCTGAAAAAAAAACCTATTTCTAAATTAGATTCTGACTTTAGAATTGACTCTGATGTTCTGCATTCTTAACAAGCAGCCAGGTGCTGCTGATACAGTTTGCTGGGGTCTACACCTTGAGTAACAAGGAACAATTCTGGCCTCCTGGCTAATGGTCATTTTCTGAAGATAATGCTCTCATTAGAATGATGGAAAGGGTGTTTTCAAACTGCTTGTGCCTTATAGGTAGAATATCTACTACATATGTTCTTATCCTCCATCCCTTTCTTCCACTTATCTCTTTCTCTGCCTCCCTGTCTCGGTCCCTGTGTGCCTCCCTGTCCCTTTGTCTGTCTCTCTTGCTCTCTCGCACCCACGCCTGCATCCACACACACACACCCCACACAGCATATGCATACAAATACACACACATGAAAACATAATGACCCACAGATACTTCAGTTCTGAGCTACATTGTTTTTGCAGATCCCTTCGTGTCAAGATGTGAACATCCTCCCTTTCTTAAACAGAAAACACTAGGAAAGAACAATGCACTGGGCAGAAAGTTTATTTTAACAGTAGCCTTTTGTTTGATATTTAGTTGATATTCTAACAGAATCTGGTTTATCCAGAGATAGCTAAACTGGGGTTACTACAACTCCTTTGCACGCTTTCAAAGGTTTTGCCTGCTTTCAAAGGTTTTGCCTAACAGCAAGGCAATCAGTTGACCAGAGCTGACGATGTTTTATTTGACCAACAGATGGCAGTAGCAGTCTCTTTTTTTCCGTGTAGAAATCAGAAAATTGAAACTAACCTATTCATAAGGTTTTTCGAAAAGCACTCATCAACGTTTTCTGGGTTCTTTGAATTCTTAGCTGATTTCAAAATGTTATCTCATTCTTTGAGCACTGGACCACTTAATCACTCTTATAAAATGTAACCATATTTTCAGGAGACATGTTACCTACTAGATCCCTATTTGTCTAATTCAAATGGAAAACTAGGAGACCGAGACTGTCTCATTTCGCATATGCATAATTTTTTACTTTATGCATCGGGATATTCTGACTACACTAAAAATACATTTCTTTAAAGCAAAAAGGATAACTTACATTTCTGAAAATTACATACATTTGCAAATGAGCCAGAGTAAATCATTTCACCAATCTCCATCAAGATCAAATTTTCAGATCTAATCAGCTGTAAACTTCAAGGATATCTAATGTGTTTCCCTCTATAGTGTGTCTGAGAATATGTGTTATTTTTATTAGTAAATTTTGATTTGATGTATCTTTACTGAAGCATTCTCATACTCATTTCACCACATCTTTTATGTAAAATTTGGCAGGACTATATTTGAATATCTTTTTGTGGAGTTTCACATAAGAGATATAGAAAATATTTTTTAATCCTCACTGTTCTATAAAATGGGGCATGTGTAAATACAAATGTTTGTAACTGTAGAATGCTGTATATATACATATAGATAGGGTGTTTTAAGTTAAAAATAGCAAATTTTTAAAATTATAGAGGGTTGAAATAAATTATACATATATACAGAATTCCAGAATTACATACATATAAAACAGTTTTCTATTTAACATTTAACTACCACATTTAAGAGCATCATAATTTGCCTGCTAGCCTCAAATTTAAACTCAGAATATCATTAATACATTTAGATTCATTTTCATTCTCTCCTTTAAGCAAACCAGTAAATATTTATAATTTACCTGTCTTGATACCTTCTCTCCTTGATACCCTCCCTAACTCCTGGCTAGGGCTTTGTGTTATGCAGTTTTTGTTTTCTACATTTTCCATGACTTTATGCACTTGTCTGTTTTGGGGCTCAGTCTTGCTTTTAGATACTTAATTCAGAAATGAAAATAACACAGAAACTCTTATATTTATTCTCCATGGATATCTAAGTATAGATTAACAGAAAGACTGAATGTTTTCTTCTGAAATTGTGAATAAGATAAGGCTGTTCATTTTCACCTCTCTCTCAACTTAGTACTGGAACATCTAATCATGGCAATAAAGCAAGAAAAAGGAATAAAAAATACACAGATTAGAACAGAAGAAATAAAATTGTCTTTATTTACAGATGCCATGTTTGTCTACATTGAAAATTCCAAAGGAACTATAAAAAATGCTCCTAGAACTAACAAGTGAGTTCCACAAAGTTGCAGAATAAAAAGTCAACACACATTTCTCTGTTCTACAATTACTATGAGGAAGCTAAAATTAAAATACAGTGTCATTTATAATTACTCCAAGGAAAGTAAAAAAAAATTTTTTATGGTAACAAATCAAAGAGACATACTATGTTCATGGATTGGACAGCTCAACATAATAAAGATGTCTATTATTCCCAAATAGATTTATACATTTAATAGAATTCCTGTAACAATCTCAGCAGTTTTGTATACATTTAGACAAATTCTTTGTAAAATTTACATGGAAAAGGCACAGGGTCTAGATTAGCTAAAATCATCTTTAAAAAGAAGAATAAAGTGGGAGAAATTAATCTACCTAATACATAAGGCTTATTGCCAGACTGTGTGGTACTAACAGAAGGATAGACACATAGATACATAAAAAGAATAGAGAACACTGAAAAAGACAGACAAAAATATGCCAAACTGACTTGCACCAAAGGTGCAAAAGAATCCAATGAAGTAAGGATAGACTTCTCAACAAATTATACTGGAGAAATTGGACATCCATAGGCAAGGAAATGAATCTCAACCTAAAAATCACACCTTTTACCAAAAATGAAATCAAAATTAGCCATGGGCCTAAATGTAAAATTGAAAAGTATAAAACACTAGAAAAAAAATAGATGAAAATTACTGGGATCTATAGCTAGGCAGAGTCATCTTAGATTTAATACCCAAACATAAACTGTAAAAAAAGATTGGTACATTGAACCTCATCAAAATTTAAAACATTTTCTCTACGAAAGACACTTTAAAAGGATGAAAAGAGAAGCACCAGACTGAAAAAAAAAAAAACAAACTGGTATGTGAAACACAAGAACTTTCAAAATTCAGCAGTAAAAGCAATCCAATTAGAAAAAGCCAAAATCAATAAACAGACATTTCACTGAACAGGATATATAATTCTATGATTATCCCAGAATTAAAAGTTTAATTTTAAAAAGTTACAGGAAAAAAAGGAATTTAGCTAGGGAAGGTCAATTTTTTTCTAAATAAAAAATATCACAGAAACAACAACAAGAAAACTGATTAATGATACAATAGGCATAATATTAAAACCTTGGTTATAATAATAAAAATAATAACTTTCATGATCTTCATGATTTTTAAATGTATTCACATAAAAGAACTCATTCTAATTTTTACAGCAACCCTAAAAGTTATATGGATTTTTCCTATTGAAACAGAACATTGGAAAGGTTAAGGTCAAGAATCTTGTCATGAAGTCAGCAAGTAAAAGAGCTGAGATTAAATCTCAAAAAATTTTGGTCCATATGTTCTTCCTAGAATAAAATGAAGGTATTTCCACTTTAAATTTAGTTGCTTTTGATCAAGAGGGAAGATACTAATATTAAATTGAAACCTAAGAAATAATTGCTAAATAAGTTAGGTGCAAGCATCCTTCTCCAAAAAGTATATCTGTATTAAGTTATTTTTACAAAAACATCAGACATCTATTATCTATTATTGTACGGATGCTGTGGCCAAGTCAAAAAATAAGTATAAAATAATTTGCAGTCTATATAAAATAATTTAAGGAGGAAAAATAGATCGTTTCACACAAAATATCTTTTTACTATCCTATTATTATTTGTAAAAATCCTACCATTCTATGTATACTTTTGATTATAACACTGAAGTCTTCTCCAAAAAATAATGTCGTCATAAATGTTACTTGTGTCTCATACGTTTATCTCTTGGGAAGGGTAATGTGATATACCAGTAGTGTTAGTTAGTATTCTCAGAAGAATTTATTTTTTTCTATAAAAGAGTAGGGTATTAAAAAAATAAGTCATAGAATTGGTAAGTTTGATTTGGGGAAGGAGCCAGAACATTTCCATAAAGCAAACTAAGTTTAGGAAGATTGGCAGAAGCAGAATGGACCAATGTGAAGACTTAAGATCTGCGGCTTTCAAAATACTGTCCTCAACTCCAAAAATCGAAGTCTTTATTTGATTCATGTAGGCCAGTAAAGAGTAACTCCATAGAATTTCATTTGTTTGTATCCTAAGGGCAACATACTTACTGTTAAGGACAATTAAGGGAGATATGTTGAATTGAGGAGGATAATTACCAGTCTTCGAAATAGGATTACCAAACTACTTTACAAAGCTCCTGCTACAAATACTTATCGATCTTCGGAACTACCATTTTCTGGAAGCACAGTTTGTTTTATTAGTCATCTTGACCTTTAGCTGGCTAGGGTCTTTAATTTTTTACAAAATGTGTTTGTGTGTGTCTGTGAATGTGTTAGGTTATAGTGAGCTTAGCTTTCTCCTTATCAGTTTAGGCTTATTGTGGATTATCTTTTGATTAACAATACATGGTGAGAATTGCATATTTTTGACTTTATAGTAATTGAAATTTAAGACATATACATTGTGGTTAGAATATATATACATAAAATATACATAATAGTGCCAAGGTAAATAGATACATCATCTCTTCCACTTCTACCTCTATGAATTTTTGCCACTTAAAATGTACCATGAAGATAATTAAAATAAAATTCTTGAGTGTTTAAAAAATTTTTATAGAACACTGTTTTCATAAAATAAATGCATGTGGTATGGTTTGGCTGTGTCCCCACCCAAATCTCATCTTGAATTGTAGCTCCCACAATCCCCACATGTTGCGGGAGGGACCCAGTGGGAAGTAATTGAATCATGAGGGTGGGTCTTTCCCGTGCTTTTCTTATGACAGTGAATAAGCCTCACGAGATCTGATGGTTTTATAAGAGGGAGTTTCACTGCAGATGTTCTCTCTTTCCTGCCACCATGTAAGACGTCCCTTGCTCTTCCACCGTGATTGTGAGGCTTACCCAGCTATGTGGAAGAGTGAGTACATTAAACCTCTTTTTCTTTATAAATTACCCAGTTTCAGGTTTGTCTTTATCAACAGCATGAAAACGGACTAATATAGCAGCACGTAAACGGAGTTGAAATTTTCCCTTGTAAATTAAATAATGATTAAGTAAAAATAAGCAAAAAAAAAACAACAACCACTGAAATGAGTTGTTAGGAACGAACTTATTACAATTTCTTTCATCTCTCTTCTTTATACTGGAAAATGAGAACATGTAGAGTAGGCAGGTCTCAGAGTCTTTTACTGTCCTTCATTGGACAGTGGTCAAAACTTTTGAGACTTCTCTTGTCCCAGGAAGCCAGGAGGCAACAAAATGATACAGACCCGCAGAGAAAAAGGAAGCTTTCAAAGGGAAAAGGGTGAGCACAGCACAGAAGTCTACATAAGACAAACATGAATGACCTTCTGGTTTGATACGGGGTTGACTGATCACTTATTTCTAAACTTTCATATTATATTGTAATTTCCATTTGACTTTTACTTAATACCATGCAGAACATTAAAAATTGAGATTGCCTTGTGGATATAGGAAAAGGAGATTTATAGTCCAGGTTAGGGAAGTTAAAATGGATTTTGATAGAGTATGAGGATGCTATAAAATACATTTAGGATTGAATATTATACAATGACATTAGAAAAGCAAACCTGTGTACATGTATGTAGATAGCCCTAAAGCTTTATATGCATATATATGTAGATCGAAAGAAGGAATTATGTTAAATATTTAATTCCTGTTTTCAAAATATATAGCAAGTTCTATTTTATGCATAAGAAAACTGAGGCAAGGACCTCTATTAATATAGATGTTATTTATCGACATTATCAATTCTAGAACAGTGTCACTCAGGGCCACTAAGCACCTCTAGCTCTCAAGCACATTTGTCATATAATTTGACTTTTAACTCCCACAGGTAGTGAGTTCTTATGGATATGGATTGAGAAAAGTATAAAACAATACTTTGTCACACAAATTTCCATTTGTCAAAGATGGAAATAGCTCTGTGTGTTGTAAAATTTGCTTTGCCTTGGAAACTAGTTCAACAATGCTTTCACGTTAGCACTCTTTTTATATCTGCTGAATGGAAATATAGGGCTTAATAACTTGAGCAAGATTCAAACACGGTTTTTAAAAGAAGTGGTGCTTATGGCATGTAAGAGTTTCTTGCTACTAATGAACTTGAATCAGAAAGTTCTGCCATACCAAAAATTTTCAAGCATAGTGCATTTTATCAAAGATATGAGAATTTAACTATGTCAAATTAATATCTATCCTGGTAATTGAAAAAAATTAAATGAGAGTAATTAAAAGAAAAGCAACACAGAAAAATGACTAGGCTGAGGTAAAATTAAATCTTCCTTGCCATTTTCTTCTTTTTTTTTTTTTCATTTTGGGGCAGAGAAAGTGCTGAAGAAAAGAGAAACTATAACTTCTTATTCATTGACGGGTAATAGGTATTTTTATTCTAATTGTACATTAAATCCAATTACTCTGGAAATAAGAGGATTGTCATTTAACTTTTAGAAGAAATCTAAAAATTAAATAATATCTGAACAGCAGATGGCCTTGTATAACGTGGTTCTTTAGGGTTATCAACTTGAAAAGGAAGTATAATGGAAGAGAGGGAGGATAAAGGGAGGAGGGGTGGATAGTAGGTGAAGGTCCTTGGAGTATTGTTTTCCCTTAGTCATAAATCTCCAGGACTAGCAATGTGGTATTACTGCTTTAAACATGCTATTGAAAATACTCTCTCTGCATCACAAAAATGACAAAATCCAACTTAGAAGAAAGAGCCGTTGAGAAGGTTGATTAATGATTTATCTACCTGCGTACAATGTGAAATGGTATTGAGATAGGGACTTCTATGATGAGAGCATCTTATCAAAGGAAAGTTCTATCAGAAAGTAATTGATTTTCACTTGTTCAGGGAAAGAAACTGCTCTCTGCATGAGGCCAGATCCTTCACTTTTCAGCAGATCATTATGTTCTTTATTATTTATGCCTATCTAGACTGGCAAACTTGCCCTAGGGTGAATGTGTAAAAAGGTCTTTTGTTTGCCTTAGCAAAACAGCCAGGAATCGTGGTATTCAGAGTCCTGAGGATGCTGAGGCCATTCACTTTGTATGACAAACCTTAAGATGAATCCTCAGAGCTAGAAGGGAAAATACCACTCCAGCTTACCTCCTCCCCTCTCCTCCTCTCCATTCACAGCACAAACACAGATATATAAATACTTCAGGAGAACTGAGGGATGAGGGACTTGTGGTCTGTCCCTAGCATTGTCAGAAGAGAAGAAAGTGTGTGTGTGTGTGTGTGTGTGTGTGTCTGTGTCTGTGTGTGTGTAGGGTAGGGGGGCTAGAAGGGGGTTGGTTCAGACTTAATCCTTCTGGGGTCATCTTGCACCTCGGAAGGGGCAGGGGCTGGAACCAAAAGCCTTCATTATTAGGGGTTAAAAATAACTAATGACTCAGAGGGTCTGGAGCCAGCATGGCAGAGCATTACTGAAACACATAGTTTCCTTGACAATTGTTCCTTCCTGACAATGGACTCCCCTTGCTTCTCCGAGGCAGCCTTACACTACACAGGTTTAGGCAGTAGAATGTTTTAAAAGCTTGTATTCGCTGGCCAATCAGCATAAGAGCTCCCCTTGGTGAGAGTAAACACAGGGGGCACACAAGTCCACTCTAGATACTGCAGGTTTCAGGGCAGCATCTCACCTGAACTTCTCTGTACACTGGGTACACTGGGAAGAAGTTGTAAAGGAGAGCACGATGCCATAATAGTAAATTTAGGCAATTTGGCATTTTAGACAAACAGCAATATCCGTTTGTCGGGATATAACTTTCATAACTGGGTTATAGAATCCATAACTAGTTACAATCCATAACTGGGAGAAGCCAAATTGTAACTGGAGACAATGCAATCAGAGATTAAATTGAAAGCCACCAGGACTCTGGTATTTCCTCCAGCTTTGCTTCTTTTGTGTGGTGACTTCAGCCTCATCTGCTGCCACCTTTGTGAGGCAGTTTCTAGACACCATTTTCCAAGCTTTATCACACAGGGAGACTGAGCTTTGTTCTCCAGCTTTTACATACATAAACACAAAAACAAAACCCAACAAAGTCTTGAGAAAGAACTGTGGTTGCCTTTGCTTCATTTGTCTTTAGGCCAGGGTTTCTCACATCAGCACTATTGAGCACAATTGACATTCTGGGTGAGATAATTGTGTGTTGTAGGTGGTTGTGTCCTGTGTATTGTAGGGGGGTTAGCAGCATCCCTGGCCTCTACCCACTAGATGCCAGTGGCAACCCTCTTACCCCAAATTGTGCAACCAAAACTATCCCTAGAAATTGTCAAATGTCCCCCAGGTACCCAGGGATCAGCCAGTTCCCTGATTGAGAACTATTGCCTTAGACTTATCACCATGCTCACAAATAGAGGATCACATTACATCAAGCCAGCATGTTGAGATGAAATTGGGAAGCAAGATCAAATTCTCAGTTTGTTGTGAGCTAGGTGGCCATCCCAATTTGAGTCTTCTGTATACCTTAAATTTTCCAGCCTTGTTTTTATTTCCACCCTTTTGTCACACAGTTATTTCATTACCATAAAGGCTATTCACAAGATTTCAAAGGAGTGAGAAATGAGAATTAGGACTAGGTTCCCATTTTCATAATATTTACCCAAATTGAAACATCATAATATGCATGTTCAAGCAATTCATCTCAAATGTAACATAAGAAAAGTCATTGGCTATAATTGGGTTTATACTTAACATTTTTCTTTTCATGGGGGGAAAAATTATTCAATGTGGCATTTTTATCTTTATTATTTATTTATATATATATTTTTGAGACAGATACTTGTTCTTTTGCCCAGGTTGGAGTGCAGTGGAGCAGTCTTGGCTCACTGCAACCTCTACCCACTGGGTTCAAATTGTTCTCATGCCTCTGCCTCCCAAGTAGCTGGGACTGCAGGTGTGCACCACCACAACCAGCTAATTTTTTCTATTTTTTAGTAGAGATGGGGTTTCAGTCTTGGCAAGGCTGGTCTTGAACTTCTGGCCTCAAGTGATCCACATTCCTTGGCCTCCCATATTCATTGTTTTTAAATTTTCATTAAATCAAGGAAAATCAATTTTTATTGGCTAAAAGGGAGGCATAAGAAAGCCTACTTCTTATGATTGCAAAAGTTAAGTAAATTTGTAATATAACAGAATAAACATTCTTATGGTTATTCATAACCACTGAACAAGCTCAGTTGTTGTTTATGTATCATTTTCCATGTTAAGGTCTATTTATTAAGTAAGTTTGTAAGATCCTACTTGATTTCTTATTCATAGATTTTGCAATTTAATCTTAGGAGTTCATACCATATCATTTCATTATGTGTATTTATTAGACCTTGTGATTATGGACATAACAAGGAATAGAAAAAGATAAGCACTAGAATTCTGGCTTACTGACTTAATAGAATCAAGGAAAAAACCTGACCCACCCAAGAAGGCCTCAGAAAATGAGTAGAGCATGTGTTTTGTCCTTGAAATTTCTGCTATTTTTTTGATTTATAAGCAGTCCAAAAAAGAATCCTATAAATTGAAACATATACTCCTGCATCTTAATTTTCATACGGACCCCAGTGGTAGATTTACAGTCATTCAGGACCTACTCCATCATAATTAAATTGTGCTTGTCAGCATTTTATTGCTCTTCTTGAAGATAAATTCTTATCTCAGAGGTTCCCACAGTGATTATCATCATGGCCTCTTGCTTTTATCATGGATGGGGATTTTGACAGAGCCATTACTCCTGCAGATCTTACATGTTTTACCTTCTTCACAAGACATCATTATTTAGTTATCTAAAAATATTCTGATTGCTTTTGTTCCTTCAAAGTTTTCCACAGCTTTTTTCTCTCTTCCTTCCTCTCTCTCTTTCTTCTTTTCTATCTTTTCTTCTTTCCTTCTTTCTGTTTCCTTAAAAATAATGCTAGTTTTTCTAGACCTTATTTTTAATTACATAATTTTGCATTCTGCCATATTTGGTAACAATTTGCCTTCATGTTACTCATTAGAGAGAAATAAATATTCTCCCTAAAAATGTAATATTCAGTGACGAATAAAAATATTCTCTATCCCTAACCTGTCATTCATAACATTAAAACTACATATGCACTGTTTTTATTCCTTTTTGCTTCTAAAAGACAGACTTTTAAGACTTTTGATAATATTTTGATATATTTCCAAGAGAATCTCATGTTGGTGGTGGTGGTGATGGTGGTTGTAATTTGACAATCTATTCTTCTTAAGTAAAAATATTCTACACACATAAAATTATTTCTGTTTATTTTATATATTTAGGAAGTAAGTTATAGGAAACCAAAAACTAGAGAAAAACATTTGTAATTAATGTGATGGATAAAAAGTGACATTCATAATATATTGATTAAAAAGAACACTAATGTTACAATAACTGAGAAAAAGGTATAAAAACATTGTGAGAAAATTGATAGAAGTAAATGTCTAGTATTTAAGACAAATTTTTAACTTCAATGAAAATCAGAACACTTGAATACAATCTTCATATTTTAAGTCAGCAGATATTTTTGAAAATCAGAACAATTAAAAACCAATGTTGTCTTATAAATTAGCAGCACTTTGAAAATAATGGTGTATTAATTTCCTAGGGCTCCCATAACAACGTATCACAAGCTGGATGGCTTAAAACTGCGTAAATTTATTTTCTCATTTAACATGGTGGCTCACGCCTGTAATCCCAACACTTTGGGAGGTCGAGGCAGGAGAGTCACTTGGGACAAAGAGTTTGAGACCAGTCTGGGCAACATTGAAAGACTGTCTTTACAAAAAAATAAATTTAGCTGGCTGTGGTGGCGCATGACTGTAGTCCTAGCTACTCGGGAGGCTGAAGTGGAAGGATCTCTTGAGCTGGGGAGTTTGAGGTTGCATTTAGTTATGATCATGCCACTGCATTCAAACCTGGGTGACAGAACAAGACCGTCTCTAAAAAAAAAAAAAAAAAACAATGTTTTTAAGAGTTTGACATTCTAATAGGATTCTGTAGAGGGATAGAACTAATGGAATATATATTCCATTATGTATTAATATATAAATATTAATTTATTATTAAGTTCATTAAGTATTAACTCACATGATCACAAGGTCCCACAATAGGCTGTCTGCAGGCTGAGGAGCAAGGAGAGCCAGTGTGAGTTCCAAAATTGAAGGACTTAAGAGTCTGATGTTCAAGGACAGGATGCATCTAGCACAGGATAAAGACGTAGGCTGGGAGTCTAGGCCAGTCTCTCTTTTTCACATTTTTCTGCCTGCTTATATTCTAGTCATGCTAGCAGCTTAGATTTTGCCCACCCAGATTAAGGGTGCGTCTGCCTTTCCATCCCACTGACTCAAATGTTAATCTCCTTTGGCACAGACACACCCAGGATCAATACTTTGTATCCTTCAACCCAATCAAGTTGACACTCAGTATTAACCATCACAACATTAGAAGTCAAGTTGTTGAGAGGGACATATTTCCTTTGAAGCTCCTAAAGGACATTAATCCTCCCTTGTCTCCTCCAGCTTCTGGTAGTGCCAGGCATTCCTTGGCTTGTAGCAATGTAACTCCAATCCTTGCCCCATCTTCATATGGCAGTCTTTCCTCTGTGTCTGTGTCTCTTCTCCTCTTATAAGGACAGTCATACTTAATTTGATATGACTTCATCTTAATTTGATAATATTAGCAAAGACCCTATTTCCAAATAAGATTACATTCAAAGTTCCCAGTGGCTATTACCCCAGCATATCTTTTTGGAGACACAATTTAACTCATAACAGATACTATTTATTGCTGATAAATGAGTAAAGTCTTTCTGAAAAGAAATTTAGCAAAATTCTTTCTTCTACTAATTTCTTTTGTGTGAATCCACCCTGAAGATAAACAGAAACATAAATTTTAGTCATATGCAAAAGGTTACTTGCCACATTATTCATTATTTAGAAGCAATTCAAAGTAAAAAATGGGGAATTATTGAGTCATTTTGATACATCCCAATAATATTATGAAGCCACTAGAAATGTTTAAGTGCTTAGCATCGCAGAAAATCCAAGAGATACTAACAAATAGCAATTAGGTTACATTTGCTACTATAAAATTAACCAAAATTAAAACAAACAAACAAACATACAGCCTCAACAAAAAAAACACCACTGGTGAATGTATGAGAAAATGAGCATTCTTTTCCACTGCTGGTGGGAATCTAAAGTGTTCAAAAGCTTCCTGGAAGGTCATTTGGCAATACATGTCAATGCCTTAGCAATGTTCCTGTATTTGGCTTACCAATTCCACTTCCAGGAATTTACTTTAAAGAGATAATCTTGGATATGCACAAAAATGTATCAATGAGAATGTTTACTGGAGTTTATCACATGGAAAAATAGCAACCTAAATGTTCAATACCAGGATATTGCTTAAATAAATAATAAGACATCTAGGTGATAAAATACCATATATTTAGTGACATGGAAAGATATTGCATATTTCCATTTAAAAAAAAGAAAATGGATTATAAAACAGTGTTCATGGCATCATCCCATTGGCATAAATTTTAAGCCACTCGCTGAATGTAGAACTAACCACTATGGACTTACAAACCAACTTTTACAAGACTGGTGAGGTTATAGGTGCTACACAGTGCTCTTGTGAATTAAATAAGTTAAAACAGTTTTCAAAATTTCTCATTTTCTCTTTTGAAGTTGTTCACTGACTCAAAAAAGGATTTTGTCACAATTTCATCTTGGATACATCTGCAATATTGAAGTAGATGAATTCTTGAAGTATCCTGATATTCAGAATTAGGGAGGACCTAGAAGAAATTGTTCTGCTGTCAGTCCTCAAGAAGACACATGAGATTGTCAGGAAATGGGAAATTTTATGCACATAAAATTTCCTTTTACATATATAGACACAAATAAATAATAATATAAATCTGACTAGTCTTATACTGAAAAGACTGCCCTATTGCTAAATATCTGAATGTTAGAAAAAGACATTTTAGAAATAAACCTGTAATAGAGTACAAAAATTAAAATATATTAGCCTAAAAATTACAAAGTTTTTGGGGGAGTTGGAGATTACTTGATTAAAAAGTTGTATTCACAGAAAAAAATGCAAAAATGCAAGAATTTTTTTTGGAATAACCAAGATGGCAATGTGTAATATCATCACAATGTTGGAACTTCTTTTTCTGTTTTGGTAAATTTGTGGCTCAATCATTATACTTCCCAATATGTTATACTTTATTTTTATTCTAAAGCCCTTTCTGTGTGGTTATGGTTTTAACATTACTCTCTTGTTCCAAGACACATAAGCTCCAACAAAATTAAATAACTCCTTAGAAGACAGTTTCACTATTCTTATTCTCTATCCCTTGCCCGTAAATAACAAATCCCTTCTCCTGAAATCAGGAAGTTGGCAACATATATTTTAGAACAAGCCAAAAGATGGCTCAGTAGATGCATATAGCAAATTTTTACACACACAAAAGTTTTATTTCTTCTAACAATTTGTTTTGTGGGTAGTTGCTGTACTTTTTAATACGGTTTGCTTGTGTAGACATGTCCTTTCATAAAATGAGAGCAAGAAGTGAGTATTCCTTATTGAACCTGTTAATCCTGATTCCTGCCTAAGTAGTCCAATGAGATTTCTATGCTCAGGTAAGGCTTATCTTATTTTTTTCAACTACTTGGTTTACGGCAGTTGGTCTCTTACCAGGTGGGCTTTTCCATAGGCCTGCCTCTTGACATGGCTGTCATATGTTTTTGAGTAAGTAATTCAAGAGATTGGATGAGAAATATTGCCAAGGTGAAAGCCATGGTCTTTTCATAACTTCCTAACATCTTAGTACTGCTGTCATTTTCTATAAATCAGAACTGACTCCACAAGTCCAGTTCACACTCAATATGAAGGAATTACACAAAGGTGTGACTTCTAAAACAAGTGAATCATTGAGGTCATCTTAAAGGTTACTTACCACATCAACCAAAGTTTGAGAACACTGCTTTACAGGTGGCATTCAAAAATCAAGTGGAATGGATAAATTGCTTAAAAGGTATTCAGATGGAAATAAATTTCAGTGGATATATTTCAGGAACCAGGCAGAGAGACTAGCCAGAAGAAAGTGTAACTCTGGTTGCAGAGCTCGCATTGTGGAGAAAAGCCTCATGTCTAGGTTACTGAAGAGAGTACTAAAGAAGTAAGAACCTTAGCCTAGCCTGGGAACTGGGCACATGGACAGGAAGAAGTTATGATTCAGGAACTCACATAGAAGCCGTTTGAATCTGGAAAGGCAACTTCTGCTAGATTCCATCGTTCCAGCTCAGGACCTAGGTAAGAAAGGAAGACTTGAATCTGGAAAGCTTCATGAGCTCAGCTTTGAGACCCAAAAATGGGAAGAGCTGAAATAAGTCGTAGAACAGCGGTTCTCAAACTTTTCTTGGTGTCTGAAGCACTTAGCAACTTGATAAAAATACAAAGATTTGGGCCCTATTTTACTTCAACAAGCCTGCCTCTGTGTGCTTCACAAACATTCTAGGTGTTCTAATACAGACCAAAGTTTGAGAACCACTGCCTTAGAAGGACTACTTACGTTCCCGAAGGAATCTGCTATGTACTGATTTATGATAATTGACTCACTAAATTAAAAAACCAGTGCTAAACTCTAACACAGTTCATGGCATAAATATGAATGTGCACACTTGTAGACAGAAGTGAAGTAAAAGATTATTGCAACTAAAAACATTCCAAGAAAAAGGACTGTGCTTTTATGTTGAAAGAACAAATCATGGCTGGCACTGATTAATAGATTCTGTTCTCTCAGGCTGGCAAAATGCAAGAGTTTTCTTTGCCAGAAATAGGAAAATGTACACCCAGGCCAGCATCTGGAAGTTATTCTTAAAGAAATGTGACATTAGATAAAATGAGAGTGGTGGGTCAATTTCTATTTACCCATTTCACTGTTCCATGCTGACTAAAGTTTAATGCAACTTTAAACTAAAATCTTCACCCTGTTTTTCATTCTCTTTCTTCTTGTTGCATCATGTTTATTTCCAAATCCATTTGAAAAATAGATACTGGTGGCATTCTATTAAGACTTAGGTGAACTATGGACCTTAATTATTCTTTTTATAAAATTTGCTTAAGTAAAAAGGATCCTAGAGTGGAATATATATAATATTTGAATTCAGAGCCACCTGGCTGTAAATACAGTGACTATGAAACCTTAAGCAAGTGTTTCAACTTTTCTAAAGTTCTTTATGTGTACATGGGTAGATCACCTGACCACTTTGAAAAATTATAATTGGAGTAATACATGATGTATACGAAATACTCAACTCTAGTAGGCACTCAATAAACTGAACTATTATTACTACTAATCACTGATACTTCCTAATTCTGTAAAGATCAAAAGACATTAGTAACACAATGTTATGTTCAGAATCAGGTGCAGGTTATATCTAGTAGGTATTTCTGATTTTCTGTTTTGAAGTTAGTATTATATGGTAGTGGTCAAGAGCACAGATTCAGAATCCAGCCAAGTTCAAATTTAACATTGCCATTCATTAATAGTGTATTCTTCGATGATTATGTAGATAATTTACTTAACCTCTGCCTTGCTTTCCTAATCTGTAAAATGGAGAAAATAATGATGCACCAACCTAATGGGAATTTGTAAGAATGAGGTTACTATTTGTAAAGCAATTACAAGAAAATATACCATGTGTGTTAGATGTTGTTCATAATAATCACTTTAAAAAAAAATTTCATCCTTTACCTCAGCTACGAATTTTGGATGTTGTTTACAAAAGAAAATAATGGGTTGAATTGTCTCTTTGTGCAGGTTTCAGCTTTTTGATGGGATGATATTACCATATCCCTCTAAATTGTTTTATAAGGTTTTATCCTGATTATACGATATAGCTTTTCCAAGGAGGTGAGCTGCTCCTTGGGGTGCCAGACACTTTTGGGAGCTGCAATTAATTATTTGAGGGAAGATAGCTCCATCCATAGAATTACTCTCCTTTCAATAAACTAATTAGTACCCATGTGATCTGAGCATGTGAAGGCACTAAGCAAACGTGCCTGTCTGGCTCTCAAGGAGTGACATTCCTTATGAAAACTTTGCTCAGAATTGAAATAATGGGAGAGAGTGGTCCAATTTTTTTCCCTCTCTGACAGCACATAGTAGTAGGATATTCTGTGTAGTGGATGACAAATATATGTGATTAATGATAATAGTAAAAATAGAAAAATATTTTCCTATATGTTTGAGAAAGTGTCATATTAATTCACTTGTTTTCTCAGTTTGTTTAAAAGACTTGTTTACTTCGAAGGCTGTCTTCATCTTAAAATGAAAACAGGTATGCCAGTACTGATGGAGAGAGAAGCTTTGGAAATACGTATATTTGTTGTCATGGTTATTTGGGGAAAATAAAGTTGACCTCAGGTAACCTCAGATGTGGGAATGTTTTTCCTGACTCTACTATTACTGATGTTAATTTATTTGCCAGGCTGGCGGGTGAAAAATCTGCTACCTTGAGAGGAATTTATATAAAGCATCTTCCCTATTCCCGTGTGTTTTTGAGCATTCACTCTTTGAAAGTATTAAGATGCATGTATAACACACATCAAGTTGATGTCAAGTATCAAAGTTTGTCTGATGTCTGCACAGCCCTAGGGACAGAGAGCCACTTTGATTTTATCTCATAGCTGTGACCTGAGCACTTCAAATGAATGGAAAATGAAAGTATCATGTGTAGAGAGTTGTTTGGATTCCCAACTCCCAGGAAGAGATTTGGTGGCTCTCACTAAGAATTCATAGGCTTTTTCTATGAACACTGAATTATCCATGATTGAGAATCCCCTGCAATTCAAACATGGAAAAGGTCTGAATAGGGAAGGTGGAGAACAGTATGGAAAGGGTCAGATCACTGAGTGGGAACAATACCTTGCTGCTTGTTTCTTGGGGGAACGTAGCCACAGAGAGAGGCACTAGTACCAGAACAGGAGGCACCAGAAGGGCAAGGAAAGTAATGACAGTATTACAGAGACCAAAGGCACAGACAGAGAAACTCAAAAGGAGGAAACAGGCTCATTAGAAATGTATCATACTGTCCAGAATGTGCAACTGCAGAAGAGATAGACTGTAAAAGGAGAAGAGCAAGAGAACAAAAGTACAGAGGTAGTTTATCTTGAGTCACCCCCAAAACTACAGGACCCTGTTGATATGGTTTGGCTCTGTGTCCCCACCTAAATCTCATCTCAAATTGTAATCCCGACATGTTGAGAGAGGGACCTAGTAGGAGGTGACTGAATCATGGGGGTGTTTTCCTTCATGCTGTTCTCGTGATAGTGAGTTCTCATGAGATCTGATGGTCTAAAAGTGTTTGGCAGTCTCGCACCTCGCTCTCTCTCCTGCTGCTATGTAAGACACGTCTTGCTTCCCCTTTGCCTTCTACCATGATTATAAGTTTCCTGAGGACTCCCAAGCAATGCAGAGCTGTGAGTCAATTAAATCTCTTTTCTTTATAAATTATCCAATCTCAGGTAGTTCTTTATAGCAGTGTGAAAATGGACTAACACAGAAAGTTGGTATGTAGAGAAGTGGGACATTGCTATAAAGATACCTGAAAATGTGGAAGCAACTTTGGAACTGGGAAACAGGCAGAGGTTGGAACAGTTTAGAGGGCTCAGAAGAAGACAGGAAGATGTGGGAAAGTTTGGAACTTCCTGTAGACTTGCTGAATGTTTTTGATCAAATGCTGATAGTGATATGGACAATGAAATCCAGGCTGAGGTGGTCTCAAATGGAGATGAGGAGCTTATTGGGAACTGGAGCAAAGTTCACTCTTGCTATACTTTAGCAAAGAGACTGGTGGCATTTTGCCCCCACCCTAGAGATCTGTGGAAATTTGCACTTGAGAGAGATGATTTAAGGTATCTGGTCGAAGACATTTCTAAGCAGTAAGGCATTAGAGATGTGACCGGGCTTTTTCTGAAAACGTACAGTCCTATGTGTTCACAGAGATGGTCTAAAATTGGAACTTATGTTTAAAAGGGAAGCAGAGTGTAAACGTTTGGAAAACTTGCAGCCTGACCATGTATAGAAAAAAGAAACTATTTTGGGGGGGAGGAATTTAAGCCCAAGCCACCTGCAGAAATGTGCATAAGTAACAAGGAGCCAAATGTTAATAGCCAACACAATGGGAAAAATGTCTCCAGGGCATTTCAGAGCTCTTCGAGGCAGCTCTTCCCATCACATGCCCAGAGGACTACGAGGGAAAAATGGTTTTATGGGCCAGGCTGTGGGCCCAGCTGCTCTGTGCAGCCTTGGGCCACAGCAACCTGTGTCTCAGCATTCCAGCTTCAGTCATGGCTAAAGGGGCCAAGGTAAAGCTTGGGCCACTGCATCAGAGGGTTCAAGCCCCATGCTTTGGTGGCTTCCATGTGGTGTTGGGCCTGGGGGTGCACAGAAGGCAAAGGTTTAGGAACCTCCACCTAGATTTCAGAAGATGTAGGGAAACACCTAGGTGGCCAGGCAGAAGTCTGTTGCAGGGGCAGAGACCTCATGGTGAACTTTTACTAGGGCAATAAAGAGGGAAAATGTGGGATTGGAGCCCCCACACAGAGTCCTTACTGGGGCACTGCCTATTGGAGCTGTGAGAAGAAGGCTATTGTCCTCCAGACCCCAGAATGGTAAATCCACCAACAGCTTGCAGCATGCAGCTGGAAAAGACAGAGACACTCAATACCAGTTCATGAAAGCAGCCACAGGGGTGGTACCCTTCAGAGCCATAGTGGGGGAGCTGCCAAAGGCCTTAGGATCCCAGCTTTTGCATCAGCATGGCCTGGATGTGAGACATGGAGTCAAACAAGATTATTTTCAAGCTTTAAAATTTAATGACTGCCCTGTTGAGTTCCAGACTTGCATGGGGCATGTAGCCCCTTTGTTTTGGCCCATTTATCTCATTTGGAATGGGAGCATTTAACCAATGCCTGTACCCTCATTGTATCTTGGAAGTAACTAACTTGCTTTTGATTTTACAGGCTAATAGGCAGAAGGAACTTGTGTTATCTCAGATGAGACTTTTGGGAACAAAAGACTTTTGGATTAATGCAGGAATGAGTTAAGACTTTGGTGGGCTGTTGGGAAAGCATGATTGTGTTTTGAAATGTGAGAAGGACATGAGATTTGGGATGGACCAACAGCAGAATGATATGATTTGGCTCTGTGTCCCCACCCAAATCCCATCTTGAATTGCAATTCCCGTGTGTCAAGGAAGCGACCTAGTGGGAAGTGACTGGATCATGGGGGTGGATTTTCCCTTGCTGTTCTCCTGATAGTGAGTGAGCTGTCATGAGATCTGGTTGTTTGAAAGTGTGTAGCACTTCCCAATTTGCTCTCTCTCTCTCCTGCTGGCCATGTGAATATGTGCCTGCTTCCCCTTTGCCTTCCACCGTGATTGTAGGTTTCCTGAGCCCTCCCCAGCCTTGTGGAACTGTGATTCAATTAAACCTCCTTTCTTTAGCAATGTGAAAAGGGACTAGTTGACCTGGTAATATTGTAACTGAATATCGAGTAAATACAATGGATTCTCAATCCTGTGGAGACACATATACAGATTCAATAGAAAAGGAGAGTACATGACTGCTTTTCAAGAGCAGGAATGACATACTGACCTAGTTAATCATGGCTAGATGACATTTACAAACTCTCCTTGTGAAGCAGGTTTAGTATACAAAGGTAAACTCACATTATCTGATATGTTTATAATCATGGGTGAGGTTTGATTTAACTATCCAGTAAAATCAGTCAATTATTTATTTTTAGTATATAATTAAGTCACTTTTAACAAATCCCATTGGTTTTACAAGTTTAAATAAAGTGCTATACCAAAAAGTTATGCATATATAATAAATGTTTCATCATCAGCACCCTCACCAGTAAAAACTGGTTGTTAAACTTGACTGCAGTGTGACTCTATGTTAAAATACAGGTGTTCAAATATAACAAGCAGCATGGGAATATCTACATTTCTAAAACTTCTCAAGGGGTGTTCTCTGAAGTAGAGCTGTTTAATATTTCCAAGAGCTCTGTGGGAAAAGAATATACTATCTAGTACTGTTACCAGGGGAGGGTTTTCAGATTCTTGGTGTTTTGAACAAAGAATTGGACAAAAATGCACAAATAAAGCAAGAAAAGAATGGAGCAACAAAAGCAGAGATTTTTTGAAAATGAAAGACACTCCACAGGGTGGGACCAGTGGAGCAACCACTCAAGGACCCGAATACAGAATCTTTCTGGGTCCAAATACACCCTAGAGGTTTCCCATTGGCCACTTGCTGTTCACCCCGTGTAAATGAAGTGGTGGTCTGCAATCAGCCTGGTTGTGGAAAGCAAACAATTAGAGGCTGAAGTGAAGTTACAAAGGTCACACTCCTATGCAAACATCTGAAGTGAAGTTACAAAATGAAGTTACAAAGTTGCAGTTCTATGCAAAAGAAGACTTGGCCTGCAATCAGTCTGATGGGTTGCAAACCACAACCGATTAGAGGCTGAAGTGAAGTTACAATGTTACACTCTTTTTTGTTTTTGTTTTTGTTTTTTCTTTTCTTTTCTTTTTGAGATGGATTCTCCCTCTGTCACCCAGGCTGGAGTGCAGTGGTGCAGTCTTGGCTCACTGCAACTTCCACCTCCCAGGTTCAAGTGATTGTCCTGCCTCAGCCTCCCGAGTTGCTAAGACTACAGGCAGATGCCACAGCGCCTGGCTAATTTTTTGTATTTTTAGTAGAGACGAGGTTTCACCACATTAGCCAGGATGGTCTCCATCTCCTGACCTCGTGATCCACCAGCGGCAGCCTCCCAAAGTGCTGGGATTACAGATGCCAGATTGGTTGCAAAATGCAATTGCAAAAAGCAAACCAATCAGAGATACTTTTAATTTCCCATCTGCTGCACAGAAAAGGTGGCCGTGCAGAACCGGTGCTGTGCAGAAAAGTTGGCCACGCAGAAGAGCAAAAGCAAAAAGCCACCACTCAGAGGTACTTTCAATTTTCCATCTGCTGCACAGAAAATAAGGGGGTTTGCAAAGGGAGTAGCCTCTGGTCCTTTTGTTACTTAGCTGTGGAAAGTTAGGGTTTTCCTTTCAATTTAGTTCTAGGAAGTCAGAGTGAAATGGCTTTAACTTCCTGCCTCCAGACCCTATTCTCCTACCTCAGTACATTCCGCTCTCATTGTGTGAAAATGGCTAGAGGAGACACCTATTTGTGATGAGTAGATTTCCTTCCAATGATTCGTCATATCATTAGCATATTATAAGAAACAACCTTTTAAACTTTTTATCTTTACTTATGAGTTCTGCTTATGAGAGAACATTATATGTAACTTTACACAAAGTCTTATGGGAAACATTTTTCTCAGCACTCAGTACCCAGAAAAGTACTGAGTAACTAGTTGGACTTTATCTTGTGGACAATTGAATCGCATAATGTATTGTGTTTCCCATTTTTCTTTGGCTTCTAGAGAGGTTTGAAAACAATATTGGGGTACATCTATATCAAATTCAACAGATCTTATTGTGTGCATTTCATGTACTAACCTCACCCCGATTTCATTTTTTTCTACCCTCATTTGTTCTTCCTTCTAATTTCCTCTAATTAAAAAAAAAATGTTGAACACTCTCATTCTTCTTGGGAGCAAGGTAGACAATAAATAGAATAGATTAATTTATAGATATATTTATTAAATTCTAGGTGGATCCCAGCATCCTATTTGCAGGGCTCCTGATGTGGAGGAAGAGGGTGAGGGTTAGCAGTCCAGAAAATGTCAATTCCACGTCCATTGAAGTTGTGTTCATTGATACTGTTTCTGTTGTCACCCTCCCCCTAACTCACCACCCTTGTTGCTGTGGCTTTTTCATTGTTAGCTTACCATGTAACTTGCATTTTTGGAGTAGATTTTGCTGACCTTTGGTAACCTGGAGATGACTGTGTTTCTTTCTGAAGTGAAATAGTCATGGGTTTTGATGAGAGGCCCTTTTCATCTCATAAGCATTTGCCCATAAAAGAATTAGGAAAAACAAAAATCAATGCTACTCTCCTCCTTTTTCATATAACATTAAAATGCTATCAAAACAAAGTAATGTATCTTTGATCTAACAAACTTCATAATTCAAATTCACTTAAATAGATGTAGATTTGATACATGTCTTAAGTAAAGAAAAGGAAAATATGTCCAGGCTTATGAAACAGGTGGCCAGGGGGAATAAAAGTTAATATAATGGAGTAAAATGTATTTGGTGAATTTTTCCTCAGCAAATTCAATTGATAGCACCAAGCTTAGATAATCATAGTTCAGCAAATAAAACCATTTTACTTAATGGTAATAGATTTAGTAGAGTTACTCTGAGGACCAAACAAAACTAGGTTGCTTAAGTATTTATTTAAAAACAAAGAAAAACAGAGTCCCAACTGTGTTGTCCTGCTCTGCAGAATACCTTTAGGATACTAAGAAAGCATATACATAATGTGTTCCTGTTACAGGACTTTCCCTTAATTCAGCTAAAGGTGGGGTTCTTTGTTCCATCACGAAAATTCAGGCTCGCAGACAATTTGGGTGGTGAGTGAGACAGAGTTTTATTGGGTGGAAAGGAAGAAAGGGGAAAAACAGGGACTCTCGCTAGGCCAGTGTTCCTGCTAGAGTGCTTCCCGCCCAAAGCTTGGATCCCGGGTTCCACCCAGGAAGAGGAGAAACCAGGCTCCTCCCTGCTGCAAATGTCATTAACTTCCCGAGGCTCCACCTCAGTGGGAAGGCTGGTTAGAGTTTCTCCAGGGACACCCTCCCACCTGGCTGTCTCTTTCCCGCCTGCACAGAAGTACATCTAACTGCCCTTCGAATAAGGGTAAGGATGAAGACCTATCTTAACTGCTTCCTGCCGACAGAGGGCACTGTTTTGGGGAAACCACAGTCAGAGCTTCCCCAGAGGCCTACCAACAGGTTCCCAGCAGAAGGGACCATTGTCAGAGGCTCTGGTTGCATGACTGTTTGGAGTTTGATGGCCTGAAGGCAAGAACAGACAAACCAGATTATTAGAAAACACGTATCAAAACAAAACAAAGGGGACATAAGGACAGCTCAAAAATTATGAGGCCTTTTACCAGTTTGCATAGGGAGAGGGAAGCCAAAAACCTGACTGGTTAAAAAAAACTTGTACCCTTTTGCTGGCATGTTGGGCTTCTGGGTTCCCTTCCCCTGAGCCCAGTCCTAAGCCAACCAGTTTAAGTTTTGAGAAATTAACTCTTTCCAGTTTGGAGGATGCATCTGAGGGGAGTGTCTCATAGTACAGATACACAATTACCTATCAGTGAAGACAGAACCTAGGAGGAGAGAGGAAAAAAGAAGGTGTTTATTTTTTTCAAAGAAGTCCCAGGGGTTCCGGATGCACTTTAAAGGGATACAGACTGAAGATGAATGGCTACCCATCTAGCAAGAGGGGATCAGATGTCCCCAGTTTGCTTCTCTTCCTAGCAGATACCCAAGGTACATGAGGGAGAGAGGGAAGAGTATCTTCTTTTCCCTCTTCCGTCCTTGCATCCCCCATTTCTGGTGACACTGGCAGGTCCTGCCATGAGTGCCAAAGCGGCTTGAACCCATGAAGCAGGGTGCCTAGAGAATAGGAATTATCTGTTCTCACCTAGGTCTCTTTTCCACCTACTGTCAGTAGCCTCGGAGTTCCCTAGACCTCATTTATGCCACGGATACTAACATGGCTTTTATCTATGAAACAGAAAGCTTGGGGTTGTTTTAATCAGTAGGAATCCGCTATGCTTCTCTGTGCTGTGCCTTTTAACTTCTGTTGTCATCTGCCTCTGGATCCCTTATATCCAGTTTTCTTTCCTACGGCTTTGACCTGAAGCTTGAAATTGAGTCTGGGACAAAAATGTGTCTCAGGGTGGGGGGCAGGGGGTTGCATGGACCCTTTATCATAAGCCAAATGCTAAGTTGAAACTGTGGAACTGAGTCCTACTCCAACAAAGGAAAGGAAAGGATGTCTTGTGACACACTCAGATACCTGGCGGCTATAGTTATGCTTGCTGGGATTTGGGTGCCTGGTGCTTGGTTTTGGTTAGCTCCCTTGGTTTTACTTTCCCAAAAGGAAATCTCCAAGTGATGAGCATCCTATTTATTCCCATCACCTGGCAGGATTTGCAGGATAATTGCTCAGAAATAGAATATTGACCTGGATTTCTACATTACCTATCCCTCTTGTTCTTTCTGAGCTGCAGCCAGAGATTGCTGGTAGTTTCATAGGAACAAGCAGGGTAAGTTTAAAATGTAGGCATAAACTTAAAAACAAGTAGTGAGTTTAGAATTTAATTAAAATATATGCAAGTTTTGGTACATAATTTCTCTCTTTTCAGTCCTCATTTTTGTTAAAAAAACAATGTATAATAGGACTGAGCTCTTTGCAAAATAGACTTTAGTTTTATGCTTGGCCTGATTATTTGCATAAAGTGTATTAAGAATAATTATTTCTATATAGGCCTTCTGGATTGGCTTTGATGGAAGTTTGTTCCACAAGGAATCTCAGATAAGACCTTTTAAAGCCAAGCCCAACCATGAGTTTTTATCCTCAAACAGCTGTGAGTTGGGTAACCCTTTCCTCTTAAGGTCCCACAATAAACTTGGAGCTCCTGGACCTGTTAGAAAGTGACATTCTTACTGACAACAAGTCAAGAACCCTGTACAGGGACTGTGTAGATGAGGGTATGAGGCCAGTCTCCCACGGGTCTTTTATCAGCTCTGTAAGTCAAGCTTTACTCCTTAAAGGGAAACATACCCTTCCAGTCAAAGCCTTGGTAAAATAACCATTTTTCCAATTGTGTCCTTTTGCAAAAGAAAAATGGATTTTTATTGCATTGATGCAAACAACTACATTGCCATAAGTTAAGAATACTCACAGATATTCTCCAAATTCTAGAGGAACCAGGCAGAGAGAAACAAACATGTTCTAAATTTTAATCACAGGAGTGTATACCTTACTTAATTATTAAAGTCTGAAAATAGTTCAAAATAAGTTTCCTTTACTCTGAAAAACAAAACAAGGATCAGCAATATTCCAAACAAGGTTAAAAGGATTGCTTCAGTTTCTAAGTTTAGTCCATTTAGTTTTTGTTTTGCTTGTATTCATTAATATTTCAGCTCTTTATGAGTCCTATATATTTTTCTTTATTCCAATTTCACAGTCTCCAAAGTTATCAGAAACCTGTATTTGAGAGCACCTGTTACAGTTCTATAGCTTATTATAAACCATCTTTTGAAAAGGATTAAAATAAAACAACAATTTTTGAATAGCAAAATATCCAGGGTAGTTACAGTTAGAAACATGATTGACAGAGAAGTTTGATTAGCTCTGTGATTTACAATAACTTAACAAAAAACCTTAATTATGATTGATAGCTATACTCAGATATTAGAATTTTAGAAACTCCATACAATTTTGGAACATATATTGGCATTCTTCACCAAGATATAACTTAACCTAAAGAAGATCATTTTGTCAATCCCATGTACCTAAATATGTTAAATAATTCTGTTTACCTCTTTTTCTCTGGACATTCCAGGGGCCCTCTGGACTTTCCACAAACCCAGGTGTCGAGGAAGACAATTTTAAAACTGAAGTTTGATTTTGGGAAGGCTGTTAAATGTTCAAGGTTTAAAACACTTGATATTATGAAATAGAATTCCTGATTACTGTAAGTTATTTATTTTGCCAAAATGATGACTCAGAAATTTTAAAGAACCAAAAACCTTTTATAAACCTTTATAAATTTTGCCAAAGAGATTAGCATTTTAAGAATTTCTTGTTGTGTTTTTATTTCAATGCTCGATTTACAGAAAAAAACATTTAATACCCTTTTGAATTTAGCAAAAATATTTACATAGAGACCTTCTTCTGCAAGATTAATTTCCACAATTCTTCCACCACTTCTTTGAACCTTTAGCTTTTTCCTAATTTAACTCAAAACAATCATTTAACTCTAGGCAAAAGTTTACATTTCCATGCCTTCTTATAACCTTTTACTAAAAAAACACATTTTACTGTTCTTACACACCTTGCATGTAAATCTATTTCTAGTAGTTTCAATTAACTTCTAGCAATTTGGTAAAACTTGGTAAGTTGCCTTAATTGTGTGATAAGTGCAGCCAAGATTTGACTCCAGCATAATTAAGGGTGTGGTTAGTTCCATATGTCCCCAGACCCTACCAATGATGTAGCTGACAAGTAAAATAGCTCTCAAAACCCAAAAAGCAGTTTGTAACCTCAAAACAATTAGCAAACTTTGCATCTGACCTGCATTTTACGAATAGTCTTTAGGGCTGTTTTTATTTCTTAAAGATTAAAGTCATGTGAAATGAAAGGTACCACAGCTTTTAGCTTTAAAAAATGTTAGATCCAAGCACTTTTCTTTAGGCCAGATTAATTAGAGTTATTTTTACAGACATCACATATAGTACACACAGACAGGCAGAAGAAAACCCAGTTGCTGGGTAGGGCCTTTTAAGAGACAGGGCTAGGAAAACATGTAGATTACTTAACCTGAGAGGGGCATCCCCTAAGGTAGGGTTGCTAAACAAATCCTTGCCAGGCAGTAACTGGCCACACCCCCCAGATGTAAAACAAGATGGAGGCTTGATTTCACAACCACAACTTTGCAAAGAATACAGTCATAGTTGGTGGGTGGATTGGGGGGAGGTGCAGGGCTGGCCTAGTAAAACATCTTCTAAAAGGAAAAACAAAAAACTATAAAAGTTAACTTGCTGACAGGGTGGAGAAGAGGAAAAAAGAGAAAGTTTTCAAATGCCTGGGGGAGATCCTCTTATTCTTAGGCAAGTGGTTCTTCCACCAGAGAGAAAAGTTTAATTACTGCCTGATGGAGCTGAACCCCTTGGGTGGGGAAGGGAAAGGCTGCAGTGGCTTCTGGATGGGAACCAGCCACCCGGCTGTGTGAGACTCTTGAGCCATGTGTCCCAGCCCCAGCATGGAGGGGAGGGGGAGCAAGGAGCCCCTGCTCCCCTGTCCTGAAAAAGGAAGGAAAGGGCCTTTCCCCCAACCCCAGGGAGCCACAGGGTTTGGGGGTATGTATTCCCAACCCTCAGAAGTCCTCAGAAGGTGAGAGGTTCTGAGTCCTCATTTCACTCACTGCTTCTTGAGCCCCATGTTGGGTGCCAAAAATGTTGCAGGACTTTTCCTTAGTTCAGCTAAGGGCAGAGTTCTTTGTCCCACAGCCATGAAAACTCAGGCTTGCAGACAATTTGAATGGTGAGTGAGACAGGATTTTATTGGGTGAAAATGAAGAAAAGGGGGAAACAGGGACTCTCACTAGGCCAGCGTCCCTGCTACAGTGCTTCCAGCCTGTAGCTTGAATGCCAGATTCCACACAGGAAGAGGAGGGGCCAGGCTCCTCCCTGCTACAAATGTCATGAACTTCCCAAGGCTCCACCTCAGTGGGTAGGCTGGTTGGAGTTTCTCTGGGGACCCCCTCCAACATGGCTGTCTCATTCCCAATTTTGGTTTAACCCTGAAACTTTAGCCTCTTATTTCCAAGTAATTACATGACTTTCTCACTGTCACAATTGTGCCTGATATTCAAGTCTATATACTTCTTATCCCTTAAAAAAAAAGGCACCCCTTCTACAGTTCCTTGGGAATTCTGGTTGCCTACTGTGGACAATAGAATAGATTGAATTGGAAATATATTCACATTGGGACAATATTCCAGTGGTTTCATTGACAGACATTGATGTGTGTCTCTCACCAAAGGTTTTGCCATGAGAGAGAAACCCTTAGGATGGAGGGACTTTTTTGATCTGTCTATCAAGAAACAGGTAGTGAAGAACTAGAATGGTCTATTTTTTGTCAGGAAGTTTTGAGGGATCAGTTTGACACATGTACTGCAATAAGTGCAAGCAGTCCCATTTTTAATATGGAGTCGATAATCACAGATAGAAACATACCAGAGACATAGGGATGGAGTCAGGGATTCAGAAAGACAGGCATTAAAATAAGTTTCATGTATACAAATAGATTTAAATACTGTATGAAACAATGTCAAAAGGAAAATCTGGGGACTTGTGAGGCCATCAAAAGGGAGACAATCCATGTGGAAAAGAGCAAAAGGAGCTCTTTCTTATCACCCTACCTTCTCTACTCCAACTTTGACAAAAGTGCTTAAGTACAGTCTGAGAAAAGTTGAGTTGAGGATCTGGGAGATGAGACCGACTCAGAGATTCATCGTGGTGGGTTCTAAGGTCAAAAAAGTAGCATGGCTTATGAGAAAATCCCCATCTCTTCTCAACAGCTATGTCCATTTCTTCCTTGAGTTTATCCCCTAGATGGAGGCAGAGATATTAATGAAAAGATCTAAAATTATGACAGACATTACAACCTCTTTGGTTTGATTGAAAATACGGTAACAGACAGCAGGAACAGAAAAGCTGCAAGGGAAGTCTATGAGGGTTCCAGGTTTCACTTATTCATGTTTCCTGAGGCCAATTCATCTTCATTAGTTTGACTAATATTTATTGAGCAGACACTGTATGTTTTACGTACTGTTTTAGGCAGTGGTATACAACAGAGAAAAACAGATAAAGTAACTTATCTGATGTGGTTTATGTTTCAGGAGGAGGAACAAACAATATACAAATAAATATGATGTGAGTAGGGATGTGTTATGAAGAAAAATAAAGCAGAGCAAAAAAATAAAAATGAGACAGGTGGATGAAGTAAGAAATGTCCTTTGATAAGGTGACTTTTGAAACTTAAAAGAGGGAACCAATCTTTGGGGAAAAAAACATTCAAAGCAGGATGTACATTACTGCAAGGGCACCAATTGCAAGTCCTTCAGTAAAAGCTGAGCACAGGGTTGGTGTTCTATGGAATTGTGTATGTTATGCAGGTGATAAGAGAGAAATGGTGAGAAACTTCAACTTGCACATATTTGTATAGATTGTCAACCTGAAAAAATACAGCCAAATTTGTTTTAAATGTGAACTTCTTTGAAAGCTCATTTGTTACCCAATGCATCATCCTTTCTCCAGTTAGCCATTTGCATCTTGCATTTCCAAACATATAAAGTGAAAACACAATTTATGGGGAGACAGAGCAACCAGGAAAGGAAAAAAACTGTAGCATTTTGTGATATTCATGAACTAACATCCTGAATTTCTTCAAATTTTGAATAAAAACTGCAAATACCCCTAAAGTGACATTAAATAACATTTTCATGACCATTAACCCCTTTAGTTGATCCTGGTGATCAGAGTCAGGGCCCCAAATATATTTAGTATATTGGCGACAGTGAACCTGCAGAGCTAAATCACATTTGTTATGTTCAGAGAACGATTTAAATGCAATTAGGTAAATCCAACATTTATGCAACTCCTCTGGTTCTTCTTTCCAGAAGCTTAATCAAGGTAACAAATTTATCTGCAGGGGGCCATATGTATATTATGGTTCACACAGTGCATGCCTGGGCTAGGAACATGAAACTCAGTAACAGATGTCCCCAATATCACAACTTTCTGACTTTGTATCTCTGTTCCCAAGAAGGCTGGCGGTCATGTTTCTTTTAGTGTGAGCTGCAAGGGCTCCCACATTTCTACAAGTCGGATATCCATCTGTCAGACTGAATTGAACCAGATTTCCATGATGTGGAAAAAAATGCTCAGGAGAGGTATAGATAAAGCCATCAAATTATGTTCCACCTGTGACTAGAGCCAAGCAGAACCTGCCAATTTTATCCCATGGCAGATCTATTGACAGCTCTCATCACTTGGATTTGACTGCTTTGTTCTGCCCTCCTAAATTTCACTCCGAGCTGGATTTTCTTCAGGACTGCATGAGCTCAAACATCAGGTGAATCCAAAGGATGGGAAATTTGCTAAAAGAAATTTGAGCCTATTTCACATGCATAATTCCCATTTGTAACAGTTTCATTTAGGTGGCTTATTGAATTCTTTTGAATATATTAGGGTTTGTGTGTGTGTATGCCTTAACAGAAATGGATTTTTCTTACACTATATAAATATTCTAAATAAACTATCAAAAATTGTCTCAAACTAACAAAAATAATTCTAAAATATACAGGGCAAAGTGTTAGAGAGAATACACAATTTAGAACTCACAGATTTTGCTCTTTAATTTTTATCTTTTGAGAGGAAACTTAGAGATTTTGTATTTTTTTCCTGTCATTGATATTATATTAATAACTTGCCAAGCAAGAGAAAGATTAAGAATATTGAATATAGGTGTTTTTTATAGCATTTGGGAGTCATAAAGAGTCTAAAATTCTAAGGTTGAAAGATAAAATTAATTCAATTGCAGAACTCTTTTTGTTAATGAGTATGTTATTTAACACACACACATACACAAACACTTATAAGGCCAGTGTGGTCTGATAAATAAATAGGAGACAAACACCTTAGGAATATTTAATTCTGGTTCTGTCTTTAATGCTAAGCTTTCTATTGACATGTTCTAATTGCTCATGCCTTATTTCTTTTATCTTGTAAACTAGAACTAAAGGAATGGAGTGCTATTGTAGGGATCAGTATTATTACATAGGCGTATAAGTTGATAAATATTGATGGGGTATTTTAAAGGCCATACTATTATGTATGAGTGTCTGCTGATTATCCTGCCACTATGAAGCTGAATCTTAAACTCCAAAGATGAAACAAAATTCAAATGTTATCATTTATTATCTTCAGGTAAGCTTCAGTTCTCTATTATTGACAGATGTCTTCTTAAACTCTGCTGGAACAAAGAACAAAATAAATAAACACATCCACAGATACAGATCCTTCTGAACTTAAAAGAATTTCAGGCAAGAGGCCAATTTGGGATTTGGACTGGAATTGACAATATGTCCCTGATAATGTTAATAACTAGCATTTATTGAGTTTTTACTATGTGCCAGAGACTATTCTAAATGCCACATCATGTTTACCCATTTAATCCACACAAAAACAATTTATCTCTATTTTATAAATGAAGAAACTATGGCCTAGAGAATTTCTATATAGCTCTATATAACCCAACATTCCCATTTATATGTATTTACCCTGAAGAAATGAAAACATAGAAAACTTACCTGAATACTTGTAGATACTTTATTCATAATCACCCCAAACTAGAAATAACCCAAAAGTTCATCAACAGGAAAATGGATAAAAAATTGTGGTACATCTATAAAATACTGTATTTCTCAGCAACTAGGAATGAATTCTTGATACATAGTTTGTATAGTATTGATAGAATAATAAGGATGACTCTCCAAAACACTATGCTAAGGGAAATAAGTCAGACATAAAAGGCTACATACTGTAAGATTCTATTTATTTGAAATTCTGGGAAAACAGAAAACTGTAGGGACAGAAATCAGATGAGCAGTTGCTAATGTCTGGTACTTGAGTTTGGTGGAGGGAACTGATTATAAATGGCCACCAATAAATTTTTTGGTTTGAAGGGAATATTCTATATCTTAATTTTGGTGGGGGTAACATGAGTATATATGTCAGTCAAAACTCAGAACTATACACTCAAACAAGGTGAATACTACTATTTGTAAATTAAAGCTCAAGAAACCTGATGTTAAAAAGTATTTAGCCAAGTTCTAAGTATCTAATAGGACACTAAGCCTAATATATTCTTATTTTTCTTTTATAGTTAGCCTTCCTTTTATAACACTAATATACAAAGACTGGATCTAAATTAAAGTAAAATGTTTGATTAAATGAGTGCTATGAAATGGTGAGGCCCTCCAAAGTACTTGGTATAGGACACTTTGAACAACCACAGATTGATTTTGATTTTATTTCTTGTAAGTTTTGGGCCTACATCCTGAAATTCTTACTTTACTAAATACCTTTAATTGCCTGACTTTCATCTTCAAATGGTGACATTTCTGTTTCTTCAGGCTGCACACTGCATTGTTATTGTTCAGAAAATCTTTCTTAATAATAATCAGGTAAAATATGCTTCTCTGTATTCTCTACTTTCTGCTCAATCAGATTTTATTGACTACTTCTTTCCCATCTTCCAGGTTTACTGTCTCAGTCAGGGACTTAAAGACACCACCAAAAGCATGCCGCAATCTAGGGTTAACAACAACACAGAGCCATCATCACTGCTAGATCTGAAGGGGGAAGGGGAAGAGGTGGTTCCTGGAAGAAGAGTATAACGAGAGGGCCAATAGCCTGATGAGAAGGAGTCATTTGAGGAACTTCACAGCCAAGCCACAAGAATCTAACAGTAAGGGAACCAGGGGCATAAATACCTGACATAGCACTCTTATCCTCCAAAGCCTGCTGGTAACTTCCATTGACAGAGGAAAAAGAACCCATGTGTGAAGAATGAATTTGGAGGATGTCTGGATCAGTTTGGGCTGCCACAACAATAATGCCATAGATGGTGTGACTGAAATAACAAACATTTATGTCTCACAATTCTGCAGGCTGGGAAATTCAAGATCAGGTGTCTGGTGATGAACTACATCATAGCTTACAGACAGCTGCCTTGTAGCTGTATCTTTGCATGGCCTAGATCCAAGGGAGAGGAAACAAGTTCTCTCCTGTCTTTTTTTATAAAGGCTCTAGTCCAATCTTGAGGGCTCCACTCTCATGACCTAATTATCTCTCAAAGACCCTATCTCCAAATACCATTGTTTTGGGGGAATAGGATTTCAACATATAAATTGTTGGTGGGTAGGTGGAACAAACATTCAGTCATAGTAGAGAGGCAACTAGAATATAACCAATATATCATTCCCCAAATATTGAAATCCAGAAAATTTTCTCTTCTTCTAAAGATAGTCTCTTTTGCAGATTAATTTCCCCCATTCTCCCCTTTTATGTTTGCAAGATTTCTCCCTCTCCTCATTATTTATCTGTCTCTTTTTCAGATTCTGTTGTTGATCTAAAACTGCCACTCTCTGGCCTAGCCCGTATACTTCAGGACCTTTCTACTTTGGCCAAATGGCCTAAGCCAAAGTCAAGGTACACCGGGAATGTTGCCCAAGGCTGGCCTGTGGATGGAGCTAATAAAATATTGGGCCCCTGGAGAAAGGCACAGGTTTTCCAAGGGGGCAATTAGAACGAGAAAAGTGGAAATCTATGATACTGAGAGAAAAATAACTTTGCACAACTTATTCAGTGGATCTTGGTCTCCTTATCTATAAAAGAAGAGCCACCAGATGTTCTATAGCAAGGACAGTATAGCGTAGAGGTTCAGTGTAGGGGTACAAAAGCCAGTCTGGCTGTATTTTAATCCTGATTCTGCCACTTACCGGTTTTATAACATTGTGCAAATTACTTAGCTTCTATGAACCTAAGTTATCACAAAGTATTCATCTGGCATATAGCAAGCACTTAATGAAAATTTTATTAATATCCCACACCTAAAGGTTGGTTACAGTCATGCTAATCACTAGCAACATAACTTAGATCACAAATGCTGATGTAATAATTATTTGGTAAATGATGAATAGCATTTGGACTGTGAATTATTACCTGCTACTTTTTTAAGTTATAGAGTATTTCTTACGAATAAAGTCTTCAAATATTCAGGTGTTTAGCAATAAAAATTTTTGATAAAATGTTGTTCTTTAATATAAAAAAGTACTTCCAACTTTTAGGGTTTAACAGTTGGAGAGACAGAGAATAGGAGAAAGATGGAGGGGGAGAGACTGTCAGGACCCAGGTGAGGGGGTAAAGGATGGGATAGAGTGCTATTTTGTACACTTTCATGGTAATTCTATTAGATTTCTTTTAGCAGTGAAATATTTCACTGTTACAATGGCATAAAATGTTCCCCAAAATTTACTATGTGTCTCTCATATATTTATAGTAAAAACGTCTATGTACTATAGTACATGCTTTTCTAACCGGGGATCTAAAGATCTATATGAATAAAGCCAAGAAAACCTATTTATAACCTCCATTTTGGCAGTTTGTTTCTCCCCATTCCTCAGAAATATGGCTCCATGCAGATATATGAATATGTTCATAAATTTCCTGTGGTTCATTATACAAGATTTGAATTTCATTTTAGTACTAATAGGTTACAGTGCATTTTTCAGGAAGAATGAATAAAATATTTATTTTTACTTTATTAAAGAAAAATGGCTCCTCTTTGAATTACATCTCTTTACACTTTTCTCAAGATATTTGGGAATCAAATCAGGTCTGTTCTACATGCAGACTATAATAAAATTATAAGAGATAGAATGATTACTCTAGATACTATTACAATTGACACAATTATTATTAATTGGTGCAACCGGAATTATTGGAAAGAATTTGCTCATTTTTTGCACTTAAGAGTAATAATAGTTAACAAAATAAGGCTAATTTCATAATGTTTGCTTACTAATTTATAGAATAAAACTATGAAGACCTTTTTGTAAGGTCTTATTTCAAAAAAAATTATGAATTTGCCCTGAATAATAGTCTATAGCAATGTTATATTTAGTACTTTATATATGGCTATAAATATCTGTGAATTAACAAATTTGTTTTACTTGTTCTTGTCTTAGCATTCTAGACATTGGGGGTTCATTTTCTGAAGTTCTGATATTAATTTCAACACTTTTTATGTGGTATTTATACATATCAACATTTGTTTTATTTGCTTTTGAAATTAAGCTAACTTTGTATGTGTTTTATGAAGTATACACTCAAAATTTCACTTTCAAGTTTCTTTAAATGACTACAGATGATCCACACCTGTTTTATATTTTCTAAAACAAATTCCAAAAACAAAACAACAAAACAGTCCCAAGAAAACATCTTGCTGCAAAAATGGCTTTCAATAAAATTCAGCATCCCTTCATAGTAAAAACCCTCAACAAACTAGGCATTGAAGGAACATATCTCGAAATAATAAGAGTCATCTATGACAAACCCACAGCCAGTATTATTATACTGAATGGGCAATAGCTGGAAGCATCCCCCCTTGAGAACTGGAACAAGACAAGGATATCCTCTCTCATCACTCTTATTCAACATAGTACTGGAAGTCCTAGCCAGAGCAATCAGGCAAGAGAAAGAAAGAAAAGGCATCCAAATAATAATAAGAAGTCAAACTATATCCGTTTGCAGATAATATGATTTTATAACTAGAAAACCCTATAGCCTCTGCCCAAAAGCACCTAGATCTGATAAACAACTTCAGAAAGTTTCAGGATACAAAAATCGATGTACAAAAATCAGTAGTATTTTTATTCACCAGCAATATTCAAGCTGAGTCCAAACCAAGAGTGCAATCTCATTCACAATAGCCACATAAAAATTAAATGCCTAGAAATACAGCTAACAAGGCAGATGAAATATCTCCACAATGAGAATTACAAGACACTGCTGAAAGAAACCAGAGATGACACAAACAAATGGGAAACATTTCATGCTCATGGGAAGAATCAATATTATTAAAATAGTCATACTGCCCAAAGCAATGTACAGATCCAATGCTATTCTTTTCAAACTACCAATGACATTCTTCATAGAATTAGAAAATTCTAAAAATCACATGGACCAAAAAAAGAGCCTGAATAACCAAAGCATTCCTAAGCAAAACAAACAACATTGGAAGAATCGCATTACGCAACTTCAAGCTATACTACAAGGCTACTGTAACCAAAACAACATGTTACTGGTACAAAAGCAGACACATAGGCCAATGGGACAGAATAGAGAACCCAGAAAAAAGGCCACACATCTACCACTATCTGATCTTCAACAAAGTCAAGAAAACAAGCAATGGGGAAAAGAATCCCTATTCAATAACTGGTGCTGGGATAACTGGCTAGAAATATGCACATTAAAACTGGACCCCTTCCTTACACCATATTCAAAAATCAACTCAAGATGGATTAAATACTTAAATGTCATGTCTAAAACTATAAAAACTCTTGAAGAAAACCTAGGAAATACTATTCCAGACTTAGGAAGGGGCAAAGATTTCATGACGAAAAGGCCAAAAGCAATTGCAGCAAAAACAAAATTGGTAAATGAAACCTAGTTAAACTAAACAACTTCTGCACAACAAAAGAAGCTATCAACATAGTAAACAGAAAACCCACAGAATTGAAGCAAATATTCTTAAACTATGTATCTGACAAGGTCTAATATCCAGAATCTATAAGTACCTTAAACAAGCAAGCAAACAACAAACAACACCCTTAAAAAGTGGGCAAAAGACATCCTAGTGACTCACTAGCATAATACTCGTGATGGTTAATATTGTGTGTCAACTTGATTGGATTGAAGGATGTAAAATATTGTTCCTGGGTGTGTGTGTGTGAGGGTGTTGCCAAAGGAGATTAACATTTGAGTCAATGGACTGGGAGAGGCAGACCCACCCCCAATCTGGAAGGGCACCATCTAATCAGCTGCCAGTGCAACTAGAATAAAGCAGGCAGAAGAAAGTGGAATGAGCAGACTTGCTGAGTCTTCCTGACTTCATCTTTCTCCCATGCTGGATGCGTCCTGCCCTCAAACATCAGACTCTAAGTTCCTTAGCTTTTGAATTATTGGACTTACGCTAGTGGTTTGCCAGGGGTTCTCGAGCCTCTGGCCACAGACTGAAGGCTATACTGTTGGCTTCCCTACTTTTGTGGTTTTGGGACTCAGACTGGCTTCCTTGCTCCTCAGCTAGCAGATGGTCTGTTGTGGGACTTCACCTTGTGATCCTGTGAGTCAATACTCCTTAATAAACTCCCCTTATATATACATCTGTCTTATTCATTCTGTCCCTCTAGAGAACCCTAATACAGACAAGAACAGACACTTTTCAAAAGAAGACATACATGTGATCAACAAGAATAGGAAAAAATGCTCAACATCACTAATCATTAGAGAAATGCAAATCATGACCACAATGAGATACCATCTCACGCCTATCAGAATGGTTATTATTAGAAAGTCAAAAAATGAGAGATGTTAGTGAGGCTACAGAGAAAAGGGAATGCTCTTACACTGCTGGTGGGAATGTAAATTAGTTCAGCTACTGTGGAAAGCAGTGGTGATTTCTCAAAGACCTTAAAATAGAACTGCCATTCAACCCATCAGTCCCATTATTCAGTATATACCCAAAGGAATATAAATCATTCTACCATAAAGATACATGCATATGTTCATTGCACCACTATTCACAGTAGCAAATACATGGAATCAACCAAATGCCCACAAATGGTAGACCAGATAAAGAAAATGTGGTACATATATACTATGGAATACTATGCAGCCATAAAACATGAGATCATGTCCTTTTCAGCAACATGGATAAATCTGGAGGCCATTATCCTAAGTGGAGTAACACAGGAACAGAAAACCAAATACCGAATGTTCTCACTTATACATCGGAGCTAAACAATGAGTACACACAGACACAAAGAAGGGAATTATAGACTCCAGAGGCTACTTGGGGGTGGAGGGTGGGAGGAGGGTGAGGATAGAAAAACTACCTATCTGGTACTATACTTATTACTTGGGTGACAAAATAATCTGAACATCAAATCCTTGTGACATGCAATTTACCTGTATAACAAACCTGCACATGAACTCCTGAAACCAAAATAAAAGTTAAAAAAAAGAAAAGATCTTGTCTTATGGGTATAGGAAATAAAAAGAGTAACTTTACATCAAAAAATAATGTTAGAGCTTTCCTGCATAATTTAGAAAATTACTACACCTTTAAAGTCAACCGATTGCTTATTGTATGCTTACCTTGTTAATTATGAGAAAGAACATTCTTAAGCCAATTTATCCCTGAGCTGAGAATAAAAGCTAACATTTATGAATTCATTCATGCATTCATTCAACAGGCATTTTTCGAACACTCATTATATGCCAGACATTATTTTAGGCACTGAGGTAAGGAGATGAATCACTCTATTCTTGAAGAACCCACAGTCTAGTTGGATAGACAGACAAAAATGATAGAATTATTGAAAGTGTTTTAGGGACCACAAAGGACAGCAATCATTTCAAGCAAGGGAAGTGAAAACTGAGCTGAGCCCTGAAGGATAAACAAAAATATGCAGTAAGAGAAATGAGACTTAGTAGTTATATGAACTAAATAGTTTTTATTTTTATTTTTCCTGCACTAAATCACCTTGTGACGTTCTTTAGCCTAAATGCTAAATTCTACCTATGGTGAGATGTTATCCAATCTGATTTTCTGGACTTGGCTAAGTATCTTAACAAAATTTAACCTAGTCTGCCAACATGTTGAATGGGTAAAAAGTAAGTCTTCATTTTATTGCAGTATACTGCTAACAATTTATATGGAATAAAACTTTTATGAATCTTATGTATCATGTTGACCTCTCAGTATATCTTGTTTCAAAATCTCTAGTCTTTTATTTCAATATAAATGTATAGAAATGATTCCAAAATCAATTAATGTAAAAGAGGCAGTTTAATATTAATATTGAAACATATACCTAATTAATATAAAACCAGTCATCACTGTCAATGTATCAGCCCTTTTTCCTTTAATTTCACTAAAAAAATTCATTATTTTTTAAAACTGTTTTTCTTCATAATATGACAACGCAATTTAAAATAAAATGCCTATTATATAGAGATAGTTAATAATGAAATGATCTTTGATAAAACATTTTTACTAACAAAATCACTTAAAATTATAAATTACAAATATACAGTGTCTTTGTTTAGATTATTTGTGTTAACTCTGCATTTTAAGCATTAAAGAAAAATAATGTGCTAAAATAAATAGGATCCACTATATTCAGTCAAAAAAATTAGTCTACTAAGAAATTTTTTTTTTTTTTTTGAGATGGAGCTTCGCTCTGTCGCCCAGGCTGGAGTGCAATGCCAAAATCTCAGCTTATTGCAACCTCTACCTCTCAGGTTCATGCCATTCTCCTGCCTCAGCCTCCCGAGTAGCTGGGACTACAGGCGCCTGCCACCACTCCCCGGCTAATTTTTTGTATTATTAGTAGAGACGGGGTTTTACCGTGTTAGCCAGGATCCTCTCTATCTCCTGACCTCATGATCCACCCGCCTCGGCCTCCCAAAGTGCTGGGATTACAGACGTGAGCCACCGTGCCTGGCCCCTACTAAGACATTTTTTGAAGAAATTTTAAGAAAGCAGCTTCTGACCCAGGAATTGGTCTGACACTCACATCTAGGCCATGTTGTTCTGCTGTTGGACAGAAGCTGGATATAAACAATCATACAGAACATCAACATTAGACAATGAGATCATGATAAAGTGAAATAAAAACAAACATTTAATAATTTTGCCTAAACACAGAGAAAAACAAGGTCACTGTGCAAACCACCAAATACTAAGAATCACTGTTTCTTGGCTAGTGTGAGTGACTGCTATTTCTTTACCTTAATTACAGCTTTATCCTTCCTGAAGTTTTCGTTTCTTATAGATAATATTTCATGAGATACCCAATCGTATTATTGCCATCACTTCCTTATGGCATTGAATCTAGAGCAAATCACTGCTTTCTTAGAACCTGTCAAAACTCACCCAATCAAAGCCCAAATCCTATAATAGGTTCTTTCTAAAAACGTCTTACTGAGACATTCCATGTTTCCACATTGGGTGTTCTTCAGTGCCTCAATGTGTAATACGCCCAGCTTGCTGTACTACACATGTTCCTGGTCTTTGGCTGGAGGGAATAGACATTACTTAAAACTCTGACCCAGATTCCATTGCAGGGTAACATGATCACATTTGTACTTGTTGAGATATTTTGTAGCCGCTATTATATTTAAGAGTACGAGGTCTGGATCCAGATTCCCTGGTACCAAGTTGCAGCTCTGTCACTCATTAGCAATAAGATTATTAGTCAATTCTTAATATTTGAGCCTTTGTCTTCATCTATAAAGTGAGGATATAAATAGTACTTCTTTTATAGATTTGTTATGGGATTAATATACCAAAAGCATGACAATTTCTACAACTTTGTTAATCCTCAGTAAACACTAGCCATTATTATTGGAAATGATCAATATTGAAAAAGGAAAACTTATCCCTAGTATAAGTATTGCAGTAATGATAGTAATGTGAAATCTTATTTACTAAAACATATGTATATTAATATGTATTTATAAATACAAAATCCAATATAGTTGGGTATTATGTAAAGTAATCTTAGACACTGAATGAAATTATATGTTTTAAAACAAACTGGACCCTGAATCTATAAATTCTTTAAGTTTGAATATTTTTTATATAAAATTTCTCTCTGGCTTTTCATATAAGGTTTTAATTTGAGGTCTGGTATCTACTCTTCAATGGTGTATTCCTTCCTTTCCTCCCAAAGAGATGCCACCTTGTATTCAGGTCCTTGTGTGATCCTACCTCTTCAATTTAGGTTGACACAGTGACTCACTTTTTGAACAGTAAAATATGACAGAAGTGATGCCACATGACTTCTGAATCTGAGTCATTAAAAAACTTGTCATTTTTTGTCTGAGTATTATGGACACTCTCTCTTGAAACCAAACTACCATACCATCAGAAGTCCAAGCCACTCGGAGAGGCTGGTCTAAGTGCTAAAATTTGCAGCCCCAGCTGAACTCCCAACCAACAGCGTTCATCAACTCTCAGTGATATGAATGGGCCACTGTGGTTATCTAGTCCTGTCGAGTCATCAGATGGCTGCACTTCCAGCCAATATCTCATTGCGATGCACAAGAGACTCCAACTGAGACCACCACCTAGTTGAGCGTAGTCAGTCACAGATCCATTAGGATAATTATAAAATGTTATTTGAAGTCAAAAACTTTTGGGGTGTTTTGTTGTTCAGCAATAAATAACTGGAAATGAGGTATGGTTTTACCTCTTTGCACCTATTTGAATTTTGAATAGGATGATATAAAGGAAAAATTTTGCCAGCTAACATTTTTGATATGGTCACTACTTTAATAGCAAAAACACAGAAATCCCAACACCTTTGAACGTACTTCTTAAGTACTTCCTTCATGGTCAGTGTTCAAAGAGTTTCATTCTCGTTTCTCTAGTACTCTGATATTTTAGGTTCTGGTATTTATCTTTTCCATATGGCAGAAAAGAAGCACATTAACTGCTGGAGAAAAGAAGGAAAAAACCCATGACTTAAGCAACACAAGAAGTTGCTTATCGTTCTTGATAGTTCTACAAGAAACAGATGTCACCACAGCGACTTCCTGCCAGGGAGAGTGAGAAGCGAGAGGAATTCTGGGAAGGCAAATTAGATAACAAACTTGTGTTTGCAAAAGCATGCTAATGAATCAAGTGATAACCTGCGTATTAATTGCTAATGAACATAACAAATTCTTATTTCTTCTTGTGGAATAACTTGATTGAAGTATTTCATGTCTAATAACCTCAATCAATTTCATGTGTGCCTTCTAGATGCTGAGGGGAACAAAGTACTTTGCAGATGTATTTAAACACAATTGGGCTTTCTCTGAAAACTACTTCTTAAATTGTTGGTCTGATTTACTAACAAATTATATGAGATTCATTTTGACATCAGAGACCTCCTTATGTTGCATGGATAGGAATCTGGCTAAGAGTAATGCAGTACGAAAGAGCCTGTAAAACCTCAGAAATTAGACGAATAGGAATTAGTAAAACAAGATGAAGATATTTAATAGTAAAAATATATTGGAGATCATTATTAAAATATTATTTTCAGTAATCACCACAGAAGTAATAAACTCTAGGATCTTTCTGTCTCTCTCTGAAAGCAAAGTTTGGAAATGTGACAATAGGTAAAGGAGATTTTGTGTTCTTAAAATGACAATTTTTAAAATAAATATTTCCTCTTATTTTATCTCCTGTATCTTTGTTATATTTATCAAAATTGACAATCTCTCAGTTACAAACCTTTCTCAAATAAGTAGCATTTTTCATGATTCCATCATTGGTACTATTCCTCTATTTCTCTTTCTTAGAAAATCATGTTGCTTTAATCTAGTTTGGTTTTGCCAAACCATATATTTATTTTATTTTTTGGCTCACCCCTTGGATTCTCTATATCTGTGAAACACTTTCGTGTTTACAAGCCCTGAGTATAATTAAAGGAACTATGGGTACTTTCAGGAATGCAGAAATTCTGGCTTCAGTTTTCAGTCATAGGTTCACTTATTTTCCATGTTTCTTGAATGTTGCGTGAGAGCTGATGTGTTCTTTTAGAAGGATCTCGGACTGAGAATCATATCCACATGAAAATCAGCTAGGTAAGGAAAATAACACAGGCTTACTCCTTTTCACAAGAGCTGGGCGCCTGTGCTCTTTCAGATGAATGACAGTTCTTAAAACATCTGACAGCAACCACTTCTCTCCTTCTCCTCTTGTTTCACCCTCCCTTTTATTATCACACAGATGAGCTTGCTCACCTGGTCCCCATTCTCAGTCCATGGGTCATAAAGACTTAGATATGACACTGTGTTTTTCACTCTGGACTGGATTACCATTATGTCACGCAGTGAGAAAAATCAAAACCCACACACCACTGAAAATTTGGCCAAATTTATTGAGGTCTGGTCTTTTTGAGTGTTTCAGGCCACACATGGCCTTAATAATGAAACAAGTCCTAGCTTGATGCTTGTTTGCAAAGATTAAAGATTCGGTCTCACTAGGATACATGTCATTCTCAAATCTTCTCCCCCTGATTTATGTCCCCAGTGCCCACGGTATCTTTCAAAGCACGTGTGTATACTGCTTTGCATTTGGAAATTACAACATTTTACAAATTTGCAATCCATCAAATACTGATGCCTGAGTTATTTTTAAAAACACAGATCTTATTTTTTTCTCTTCCATAATCAAAGTCCATTATTGATGCTTCCTATAAACCCCTTACTTGGGCTGTTAAGACTTGATATACTACAGTGATGGTAGATCTTCTCTTTATTGTCCAAACCAGGACATATTTAAGAGTAAAGCAGGCATTCCCAATTATTACAACAGGACAGTAGGTTTAAACTTGGAATTACAAACATGCTAACTATTTAGGCTACCATGTGTCCCATAATCTAACACTGGACTTCTTACTGTTTTACAACCAGACATTTCAACTTCCCTGGTAGTTGTTCTTTTTCTCAAAGCAACTATCATTGCTAATATTAACGTATTGATTTATTTCATCTTACACCAATTCTGTGAAATAAGTGCTCTTATTATTCTTTCTGTACATATGGGAAAACTGGGGCGCACAGAAGCTAAGTAACTTGCCTAATTCATGATAGACCCAGAATTTGAAGAGGCATGTATCTGGCCCCAGGGCCTTTGCTTGTAACCACTACTCCATATCATGCATTCTGTTTCTTCTCCTGGAATGTATTTACATTGATCTACTTTCTAAATTCCCATTCTTTAGGAAGAATAGCATAGTATTTGAGAACAAGCCTTGACGTTAGAGTCCCTGGTTTGGACTCCGCTATCTCCTCGGTCTTGGGTAAGTTACTTTTTCTGTAACTTGGTTTTCTCAGTTGTTAAAAAAGGGATTATAGCATCTATTTCAGGGTTTTTTTGTGTGATAATTAAGTGAATTAACTCATGTAAAGTATCTGCTATACAATAAGTTCATGAGCATCCTCCATTAACATTCAATGCTCCCTATTCCTCAAAACCATTTCTTTCCTCATTGTCATAGAACTTTTATTGCTATTAGAACATAAATTAAAGTTGTGCTTCCCAGTCCCAGAGACACATTAGAGACATTTGCGTGGGGAGCACTTGAAAAATTCTGATGCAGTTCTTGGGGAACCCTGATGCAGTTCTGGGGCCAGCCATCAACATTTTTTAAAACTCTCCAGGTGATTCTAATGTACAGCCCGTGTTGAAAAAAACTGCATTAAAACCTTTCTGATACTAAAATATCTTTGCACATGAATTTGTCTCTTTTCACAAAATTTCAAGCTCCTTGACTGCAAACAGTATATCCAACTCACCTTTGTATTTCCAGTAGCAGCTAGGCTGGTGCCTCATATACACTGGCATAAATAAGTATTTTTTTAAAAAAAATTAAGCATAAATCTCCCAAATATGGTAATTGTTATAAAAAGGGAGAATCTTTTTGTCATCATGAATGCACTGATGTGTGCATGTACTAATAATGCTCAATAGGTGTCTTAATCAGAGGTTGGCAGGATCCAGGTAAAATGGGTTGGATGGGTGGTGGCAAGAATATAGTAGTAAGAAAATACACCTACTTGTTGATTTAAAGCAATGGTCTGCAAACTTAGCTGCATTTTATAATCACTTGAAAAGATTTTACAAAAAACATTCCGAGCCCTTCTGTTCCCCAGGAAATTCCAATGTGCAATTAAGGCTGAGAGCCACTGACTTAGATGAATCAGGATAGACCCAAGATCTTCCTCCTTCTACCATGATATCTGAAACTCAATTTCTGAGTTTCACAGTTAGGTACCATGAGAATGAAAAGAATGAAGAACGCCCGCACATGTAAAAGTATCTGAGAGAAGCAGGGCTCAGGATGGGGAAATATGTACACTCACATATACAGACACATATAAGCTTATTGGTTTTAGGTTAATCTTTGTAACAATTATGTATCGAGAAAAGGCATATAATATCAGTCTATAATGCCAATATGTCCCTAGACACTGTATTTTTGAGATAATTCTTTTTTGATGAAGAAATAAAGGAGATAGTTTGGCCAAAACAGCAATAAAATATGCAGAATCATCTTTTAAGATGGGGCTTGCCTCTTTCTCATATAATAAAGTGGCCTGAATCCAGGTAATTTAGAAATATAACATTTAGTATTTCTAAGTACTAAGCACCATTTTAGCCATGTTTCAATTACAATTAATTGCCAAGTGGAAGAATTTTATTATATTATTTTATTGGCCTTGTTTAATGCTCTTTGATATTTTAACAAATAATAATGGCTAAAGGTTTAAAGATGCAAAACAAGTGTAAAACAAGAACTTGAATGTTCTATAATGTACAAATTGTTAGCATAGTCATAATAGTGCTTATATTTTCAAACTAAGATAAAACACTGCTCATTTTTTATTATCTATGCTGTTTTAAATTTTGGTAAACTTTTACAACCCATCACAATATTTATCCAAATATCTATTTAAACTATTCTTTATACTACTTATTTTATCTTTCTCAATAAGATAAAGGAAAGCAAAGGGGATAAACATGTTTAAGTAATATGTTTTAGTCTTAAAAATTGTAATTTTTAAATTCATTTTCAAAAATATTCAAATGCATTACCAAAAATTACTCGTCTTAAAATAATGCTTTTTGGATAACAGACCAACTATACTTTGTATGAAGATGATGTTATTGATCTATCTGTAAAATAATAACTCAGCTATGTTTAGTAATTTCTATCTACCAGATACTTCTCAGTGCATTAACTGAATTTATGCATTAAATCCTCAAAATAATCCCATAAAAGAGTTACCACATTAGTTTGCACCTTAACAGCTAAGAAATCCAATATTTGAATCTAGGGAATCAGGCCCAAAGCTGTGGGTCTGTGGTATTCCATTTAAATTGATATTTCCCCTCAGTATTGACTACAGGAAATTGGTTTTATTTGCTTCATTCTCATCATTCCACTGAAACCCCTTTCTGAACAAATGATCTGGTTACACTTAGTACAGTCTGTGGCTATGAGAACATGATCTGTAGATACATGTGGCAGCAAATGTCTAGTGCTCTGATGATGACATTCTAGCATTTTGGAGTCATGGATAGAGAGAGAGATCATCAGCTTCTGCACATTTTTTCCTTCACTTTTGTCCCTCTCACTTTCTCCATTACACCACTTTCAGAGGTTTATCTGAAATTTTCCTTCCTTATTTTGTTTTTTTAAAATAAATTCTATCATGAAGTATATAAAAGCAGAAATCTGAGTAAAGAATAGACACCGAAATTACTTAAGTAATGGATATAAAGTACCAATAAAATAGTTGAAGCTGAATAACACTGATCTGTAATGGGATATTCTAACCACATTACTTATTTATTAAGAATAAAAACAAGTAATACATAATTTTAATTAACATTCCAAAGTCAGCTTCAGATTTGACATAAAAAAAATCACTATTTGATTATGTTTCCTTCCTCTGTGTATCCCAAATAACATTATTTGCACAGTTTTAGTCCTTATTTAATGATTGTAGGTTTTATACTAAGTTATTGTCATGCTAAATCCGTATCAACTCCAACTGGTATGGGACCAGCTTCAAGAGGCTGAAGAAGAGGTGCAGAGCCAGTGAATGACACATGGGTTTTTCTGGGGGAATTATGTACAGGAGAGTCCAGTGGCAGCAGGCTGGACAGGATAATTGCACGGCCCAGTGGTGGTAAGCTGGGCAAAAGAACTGCAGTCCCTCACAAAAATCATGCACTTTGTATAGCATTTTCACTTAACACCCTTACCCTAACAACCTCCACCTAGAAAACTTCATTTAACCCAAAACACATGGCCTCCATTCCCTGCATGGCCCACGTTCCACAGAATGGTGGTTGTGGTGAGGGGCTCAGATGTTCCTCACAGATAAGTAATGGATCTCCGTGTTGGCCACTCCCAGATTCCTGAGCTTGGAACTCAACACACATTCAGTTGTGTCTGCCATACAAGATCATTCTCAGAGAATGTGCAAGTCAAGTTATAGCTGTCAGGCATGTCTACTGTGTTATTAATTTAAAACCCTTTGAGAAGAGAGAACATATTTTAATCATTGCAGGATTTCTTGAAATTTCCAACAGGGTGATTTATAGATATTATGTGGCCAATAAATGTTTTGTTGAATTAAAGTATGAAGCAGCTTTAACAGACTGACACATTCTGACTTTTTACTAAAGCAACGTAACTAAAAATGAAGGGAGGCTTCAGCATGTGTGTGAGTTTGTTAGAAATATAAGTTTTCATGTCCCACTTCAGATCTACTGAATCAGAATCATTGGAGTAAGACCCAGGAACCTATGTTTAAGTGGCTCACCAGGTGATGTTTACATCCTTTGAGGTTAGAGAAAGACTGTTTTACAACAAATTTTACATCAATTATTTGTAATAATAGTTAATGCATACAAAATTTGCAGATGATCCAAAAGCTGGGAGTAATAACTAAGAGACCCAGAATTATTTCTGTGGGGGAAAAAAATTAAAACTAGAACAATTGCTGCATTTAACAGAATGCTAGTTAACATGGATAAACACAGGGCCATTATACATTAAACATGCATTTATTCAACAGCAAAAGTAGATCAAATACTATTTCATATAATGGAATGAGCACAAACGTATTTTCTGCCTTCAAAGAGAAATTTTTAGGCTGAAAAGGCAGTTATTTATGCAAATAATTAAAAACACAGTAAAGTAAGTGTGCCAGTTATTAAGCTATTATCTCTCAGTTTCAAAACCCACCCCATATGCTTCTCCATAAAGCTTGGGCTGCGCCTCTGCAAACCACATTTCTGGTTTGGCAGCTGGCTCCCTGTTAGACCCTATGAGTTGGGATGCTAAAGGAAGGCTGAAAGGCTAGAAAAAGAAAAGGGGATTCTGCTTGCTCCTATTGTTTTTCTGTTGCTGTCCCTGTCTCTCCAGCTTTGCTACTTCACCCTGCGGTGATGGTTTGTTCCAATAGCAGCAGCTGTTGGATTGTTTGCAGTTTCTTCAATACTTATAAAGCCAGCCTCTTCAAAAACACCAAGCTAGTAGGCTAGGACCCCCTCCTTAGAGGTCTGAATTCCAGCTCCCTGAGGTCCCTCCCCTAAGCTAAGAATTGGTGCCTGCTCTAAAGCCCTTTCTTGAAACTTTTGAGCTACTAAGTTTTAATAACTCCATGCTCTTTTGTTTGTTTCTCCACTCATGCAGGTAGCAGCCACTTTCTGCAATCGCTGGCTCCATGATGACTTAGTGTTCTATTTTTGCCTTTTACCTTCATCAGCTTTATGCCTATTTAGAATTCTTAGGATTAAATTACCTGTTAGTATAACTAGTGAGTTCTCTCTTTTCTCACTGAACATTGACAAATACAGTAAGTGATAGTGGATAGTGACAGTGAGGTGGTTAAACAGCAGGCAAATTTCTAAACTGTTTCAATCAGGGAGCATGCTCAACTGAATTAGATTCTAAGACTCGTGATCATCACATTTGTGGCCAGTTGGGAAGCCACTTTTGATTCTGACCTCAATTTGGAAACTGCTTTCCTTGCCAAATGCAGAAAACACCCATAAAATAAGCAATGTACTGTAGGTGAATCAGACAGGCCAATATTTGTTTTTCTGGTATGTAAAAAAGGGAATAATAGAAAAAAATGGCTTATTTTATGTTTCTTCAGAGGGCAAAACTTGAACCAATAGGCTGAAGTTAAAAGAAGACAGACCTTTCTAAAAATCAACCACATCTAAAGATAAAATTGGCTTCTGGGGAAGGAGCAAATTACCCCCCATAAGATGTGCTTTAATACAGATTGAGAAATTACTATATGATATTATTATAAAGGACATTCTTCAATTGGAAAGGTCATTGAATGAGATAGCTTATTACACTGTGGCTCTATGGTGTTGGCTTTAGTCTATTAATTTTATTATGCCCCTTTCCAATGAGAGAAGTGTTTACTAAAGTGGGTAAAACATGCAAATGAAAGTCAGGTAAGGGAGCAAGGAAAAAGAGACGAGCATTGGAATATGTGATTGACTGAAGGCATCAGAGGTAACAAGGTACTGGATCAGTGCAATGTATTAGGAAAGTAATTGTAAAGAACTTGGACAAATAGGCTGGAAGAAATCCCTCCTATTCCTGGACCCTTCAATCCTAGTAAATGAGCAAGGTCAAAACCTGCTGCAGCTGAGGTTTTGTCCTTGCCTCAGGTTTCATAGACCACATTTGAAATGCTCTGTTCCAGAACATCATGTACACATGAAAAGGGCTTATTCCTGAGATAGTTACTTTTTCAATCTTGGGTTTTTTTTCAAAGTTTGCTAAGATATTTGTAATAACTTTGAAACTTTATGTTATATTAGAACATGATACAAAATGCTATTGACATTTCTAACAAAAATATTAGAAAATTCTCTGTAATATTATCATCAGTCATGACAACAGCACAGCTTATTGAAATACAGCCTTTTAAAAATTTACTCAAACCTAATAAATAAACAGCAGCCTGAATTCTTGGTGTTTATGAGCTATTAGAAACACATGGCTGCCAATTTCTATAAATGATGTCAAAAGAAGAATCTTATATAAGATTGGCAAGTGTTCTGGGATGAATTCAAAAAATCTGCTAAGTTTTAGATGTAGTAATTTTGGAGTCTTCACATGTAAATATATTAGAAGGAGTGATTTCATATTTAGAGAAGTTGTATTATTATTATTTTTACTTTTAGACCTAGACAATACAAAAATATGTATATTAAGATGAGGGGGACAGTCCTCTCAGTTGTCTATAGTATATCAAATGTCACATTACCTGGAAATATCTACATGTTTAATGTCACTTAGACCCTAATGCACAGTTAATAAACAAACTTTTTATATCTCAGTGTTCCAACCTTATACATATAAAATTATTGAAGCAAAGTTTTAATTTTCCAAAAACCAGAGTGTGTAGGTGAGGTTGGATTACTTCTACATGTAAGAAAGGTAACAATTTTTGTTATAATTAGGACCCAGGATAGAATTTTCCAGATACTGGATATTTATTGCTATACATACAATTTTTCCACCAATCAAATCCTCCAACATGAATTAATGACAATAGGTACAGAATTATTTCACTTGTATAGATAAAAATTTAATACCCAGAAAGAATTTCAAGAGATAGGATTGAATATTTTCACAACAGCTCCTAAAAACTGCCTGATCAATATATTAGGAAGAAAAGTCATCTTTTCCAGTTTACATAAAAGTGTAATGCATATTCTAAAGATTCATGGAAATGATGTCACCTTGGCTATGGCCAGGAACCTGTTTATTTAATTTCAGTTAGCATTATTTTTAATGTAAAATTATTTTGATACTGAGATGTCTTTGCCGCCAGGTAGAGATCTGGAGTGAACAATTATATACTTTGGCTATATTGGTCATTTTACCATACATTCCTAATCAAATAATAGAATAGAATTAGTTTTCTAGACTTCTATAGAGTACTGAATCAAACCGAGAAACTTTTTCAATCTCTGTGTCAATGGTTAAAATGAAGCATAACTTGACAAAGTCTGTGATAGAACTGGAAGTATATTCCAGTGAATCTAACTTGGCATAAATCTTTCAAGACAATACAAATATAATAGAAATGAATTGTTTTTTACTTTTTCATGGATTCTGATTACAAAAGTACCAAACATGTTTACTTCTCAATGGGAGATCTGGTTTCCATGGGGACCAAGCCAACCTCATCTGCTGTTTTGCAGACCATGCTCCATGCACCACCTCCACTTTGGCAGAACTAAAGAGGGGCTGAACACAGTTACCCTGGCAAGTGTGCGCAGCCATCTATACAGTTTCTACTCATTTTCCACCCACTTTCAACAACAGAACCCAGGAGGGGGTTTCAAGGATGTGCAGCTTTCCTCCCACTTTCAAGTTACATCATTTGTGATGCTCTTTGAAACTGGAACATTCTACATGATTGTGATAAACATCCGCCATGTGTCACAATGTTCCTTCAAGTTAAGTGTCAAATTAGCTGGCAATATAAATAGGTGCCTATTTTTTATTGTTTCATTGCCCTTATCATACATTCTGTACAGATCAATGGTATTTCTTACACAGTTGATCAAACATCTGTTACATACTGGAATTTGTCCTATTTAATATACACATATTCATGTGCTTATCATGTGCTTATCAACAGGTTGACATATGCCAAGCACTGGGCTGAGCATGAGGGGTACAGAGATGAGCAAAACGGAGCTCTTACTCTCAAGTAGCTCAGAATTGAGTGTAGAAGAATCTGTTAGAAGCATTATTTGTAAATCACTGTGGTGAATATAATGTTAAGATATTTGCACTGGATGATATGGGGTAATAAGAAGAGACAATCTCATCTGGAGGCCAGAGAGGGCTTCCTTAGAGGTAATGCTTTGGTTGTTGCTTAAACAATGACTATAGATTAGCCTGGTGAAGAAGCACCAGCTTGAACTAGTAAATGAAAGAAACAGCAGCTTCTGGCTTAGGAACCAGAGACAATTCCGTGCTTTACCAAAAACTGGAAGGTAGAGAGTAGCAAAAGTGTGAGCTAAAGACAGGTGATCAGTTCCCCTGTGAAATATTAGAAACTTTGGATTTTATCCAGAACAATTTAAGAGATACAAAGAGAATACATAATGAGGACAATTGTTCAGTTGTGTATTTCTGAATAATTATTCTGAAGGCTGTGTGGAATATGTGTTTGAAGAAAATAAGATGTTTAAGTAAATAGCTTTTTTTGTTTGTTTAGGGCAAAACAGCTCTAATGAAATCTTCAAAATCTAAAATTTACTATTTTACTCAATGCAATCCATGTGTTTTCATTAAAATGGATGCATTACATTTTTATTTATTTTTACTTTTATTTATTTATTTTTTATTTATTTTTATTTTTACTCCACTTTGGCAGAACTAACTTAGCTTATAAAAGAGAAGACTTGTGGGGGAAAGGACGCATTAGCAGACTTACAGATATGTAAAAGATTCTAAGAGAGAGTACGCTTAGTGTTTCCTGAGTCACTGACAGAAACAACTGATGGATAAAAATACAGGAAGCCAAGAATATTATCAAAATTTGAATTTTACGGCAAACTATAAAAAATGTAATGAGTTTACCACTACTAGAAGCAGAAAGGCAGAAAGCTAGATATTTGAAGGGACTCAGAGATTTCTAGATCAATTATTTTATAGAAATGCAAACAAAAGCCAAAATGGTGAAATGACTTAACAAAATTCAGTCAGTGACCATTGCCGTTTGCTTAGAGTTCTTTCCCCCACCATAAAATATAGAAGAATAATACTAATAATTTTTTTCCATTGTGTGTCTGTGAGTTATATCCCTTTTATGGTATTTTCTTAGTCTAAAAGTCTATGTTTCTTTTGAAGAAGATATTCTATTTTAACAAATTCAAGATAAAATTTTAGCAAATGAGTTGGAAACTTTCTGACTCCTCTCAAGTTAAAGTTAATATATTTGAAATAACTACACTTTCCACCACTTCATCCTCACTACCTTTTTATATGCCATTACCATGAGCTTATTGAGTGATTAGCGTTCTGTTTAGTAAGTACGCGTGGAGGGCCTGCATTGATAAAGTAGTGTCTTTGTTCTAGAGGACAATATGGCCTAATAGTGTGATCATACATTATTAACATAACATAAATTTCATTCCTTAGGAAATTGACTTTAAATCACTCTGCTAATCACTTGCTTCAATGTAATAAAGTAAGTAGAAACATTAAAAAAGCATCATCAAAGATCACGAGTAGTTTAAGATAGTTTTAAGAAGATTTTTGGCTAATGTTGCTAGAATATTAACTGAAATGAAAAGGTAAAACATTTGTCTTTTATCCAGAATAGTAATAACTATTATTCAATTTTTTAAGTTACAAAATGTGTAGACATTTGTGTGTGTGTGGGTGCCATTCAATCAGTCCTAGGCAATTGAGATGGCTAAATAACACCCATATGGTAAACAGCTTGGTACGCCCAGTATAAAGGAAAAGGTGTTGGCAGTGAATCTGTGAAGGAGGCATTATTATTTTCACTCCTAGAGGTGATGTAAATGTCCAGCCTCCAGGGCTTTATTTCTTTTCTTTAGTTTTTCTTTCTTCTTTCCTATCCTTATGTTCTAGACTTTAGCTGGGTTAATTATAGAATGAAATATTTTTCAATATGAAATGCTCATTCCTAGGGAAAAAATAGTTGTCTTGGACAGTGATGTAAAACACAATGTAAATATTTAGCTTCATATATTGAAAAGCAATTCCATTTCAAAGGAGATGAAAAACCACAATATATGACTTCTATCTGATAAAAATTTTGTTTTTTTTTCATGGAAAAGTGACATGTGAAGAAAAGATAACTTGATAATAGTAGTTACATTAACAACATACATTATTTATTATGTTCTAAGGCTGTTTTTTAGTAATTTGTATGTATTGTTGGATAGGTTTCATTTCATAACCATAATAAGTTTATAAAATTAGCATTATAATTACACCAATTTTGCAGATGTATAAACTGAAGAACGGAGTTTAAGTAATTTAGACCACTGGTTGGTGGGATCAGGAATCTGCTCCACAGCCCACACTTGTAACTATAATGATATTGTGCCTTTATTTAGTAAGATGCCGATGTTTTAAAATTTTGTGTAACATTTCACAAGTTGTAGTACTAGGGAAGACATTTAAGACCATGATAGTTGTAAGGGATGACGACTGTAGGGGGTAAAGCTCAAAATTTGGAGTCAAGAGGACTGCAGCTGAAATCTCCATCCTGCCAGTGGTGTGAGTATTTCATCTCTAAAAGCTTCACTTTCTTCATCAGTAAAATGACATCACTCATAGAGTCATTTTAAGGATTAAATGAGATTATACATGTAATATATTTAGCCAATAGTGAGCATATAGTATGTTTTAAATATATGTGGAATTATTTTCTTCATAAAGTGAAGATCTAGTGTCTAAAGAAAAATGTAACAGATCTAGTGTCTGAAGAAAATATATTGTGATAGATGAGTCGTCTTCGTTTAAGAAGAATTAAGAAGTTTCAAATATCAAAGAACTTTTGAAGTTTATTTTTCTGAAAAAGAAGTAAGCATTTAGAAAACACGTTTTATTTTTATATTATTTTATAATTTACTGGTATACAGTCATCCCTTGGTATCTATGGGGGATAGGTTCCAGGACTCCTTATGGATACCCAAATCCACATGCTCAAGTCCTTTATATAAAATGACATAGTATTTATTTGCTTATTACCTGTGTACATCCTCTCATATATTTTAAATTATATCTAGATTATGGATAACACTTACTATGGGGTCTACACATCACTTCATTTGCATGGATTCAATGTAGTACACAGTGTGCATCAAATTTAAGTTTTGTTTTTTAGAACTTTGTGATATTTTTTCAAAGTATATTTGATTTAAGATTAGTTGAATCCATGGATGTGGAACACACTGATATGAAGGGTTGACTGCATATAATTAATTCTAGTGTACTGTAATAACTTTGAGTCTAAATTTGTGAGCTTACAGACTTCAAACTGATGTTTATCAAAAGAGTAGAAAGTGAATTAATTGTCTATGTGACATAAAGCATGGTTTTGTACATACAACCTTGGACTCCTGATATCAACGGACTTGAACATTAGACTTATAACATATCTGTAACTTTTTTTGAGTTTTTAAGTGACCTTTTCCATAGGACTTACGTTTTTTTCAATTAAATGTTCATCTCTAAAAAAGTTCCTTAATAATTTCCAAAGAGAGTGATGTGCAAGACAGCTTTTTGTGTGTTGTTTTTATATACTAGCAATCAAAATTTAATATATCACAGAAAGTTGACCTGGACTGCTCATTTTTATGTTTTAAAATATAACATTTCTAAAAATGATATACCTTTGAAAATGAATACTATTCATTATTGAAAATTATCTAAACCGTTCATACAATATCATCTTAAAAGTACGTTTTGCATTTTATTGTATGATATTGATTTGGCTGTGTCCCCACCCAAATCTCATCTAGAATTGTAACTGCCGCAATTCCCATAATGTGTCGTGGGAGGAACCCCGTGGGAGGTAATTGACTCATGGGAGCGAGTCTTTCCCATGCTGTTCTTGTGATAGTGAAAAAGTCTTACAAGATCTGATGGTTTTAAAAATGGGAGTTTCCCTACACACACTCTCTCTTTGCCTGCTGCCATTCATGTAAGATGTGACTTGCTCCTCCTTGCCTTTCACTGTAATTGTGAAAACTCCCCAGCCACATGGAACTGTGAGTCCAATAAGTTGCCCAGTCTTGGGTATGTCTTTATCAGCAGCATAAAAACGGACTAATACATTCTATTTTTGTGAATTTTTATACATTTTTTAAAAAGCTCATTGAGGCCGAATCAGGTAATGATGTCTGTGCTATAGAAACTATTTCTTAACATGTAAGTAAAAGATTATGCATTATATTTAGTGGAAACAGTCTGTTATAGGCAATCTGAGCAATGAACCAACTTTAAAATGATACCCTATAAGTGTGCTAAGGAAATGAAAATCTGGGTAAAATTGATGCCCTGTGTAAACAGAAAAAAAATAAGACATTTCATTTTAGCTTTATTAAAGTATAGGCTTTTAATGTATTTTACATTTATATGAAATAAATAATAACTGTCGAATTAATAAGCATTTAAGGATTTTTACCCACAAATAGTCAAAATCCTAGCACTTTTCAGAATCATCTGTCTTTTGACATAGATTTGGAAATTTCAAATAACTTCTCACTCAAGTCTACGGAAACAAGGAAATAATTACTGCATGCAGAATTATCAATATTATTTAACTAATCTTTTGGACACATATAGAAGCAGGCTGTGATGTGGCTGAGGCAGCTGGATCCCTTGCAGCTTGTTTTCAGCATTTATCACTGAGGTGGATGAGTGTTGCCTTGAAATGCAGCCAGAATAGTCTCTTCACTTAGTGTGCAGAAAGGCTATGTGGCAGGCTGAAATCAATATTCACACATGGCCTATGAAACCAAATTGATTCAAACTTTTCCCTTCATGATATTAGCAATGGTAAACGATGATTTTTCAAGCTTCATAACGACTTAGAATTTATAAAATTTCAATTAAAATATGAGTCTTCTGTAGTAAATAAATTGATCGTTGGATTCTTATGCCATTCTCAATCTGGAGCCCATGGATGGACTCCAGGGGACCCAGGAGCCTGGGATCCTAGGAGTTGTATTTTGTATTATGTATATGTACATTTTTCTATATTGAGGACTCTTTATTTTCATTACATTCTCAAAGGGATCCATAAACAACAAAAAAGAAAAATTTAAGAATCACTGCACTGACAAAAAAAGGACCTATAAACTTTTGTAAGTTTAAAGAGACTTTGAAGAACTGACTTAAATTGAAATTTTGTGTGCAAAAAAAATTATTTTGTAGTAGTGTTTCCAAACAGTATTTAGAAATGCCATGATGGGGTAATCTGAGAACTATTCTCCTTTTTATGGATAAAAGAATACTGATTATATGAACAAGAGACAGGGAAATATTAGGTAAAAGAAGGTGATTCCTCAGCAAAGGCCCCATCCTCAAGCCTGGAAAACCGCCACCCTAAATGAGAACACATTTAGCTTTAGAAAGAAAGGATGGAAGAGAAGGAAATTTGCATTTACTATATATTTCAGACATTGCTTAGCAAAATCATACTACTTACTTCTCTTGTTTACTATATTCTTTTAATGTAAATTTCCACCAATTGAAAGAGATTGTTGGGTAATGTTAGATGTTTTGTATCTTACCAAAATATATCGTATCAATCAATGTTTAAATAGCTGAATCAGACTATGCCTGTGTGCCACCCAAAGGGTTGTTTAAATATATGTGTTTGATAACCCAGTAATTACTGAGAGAGAGACAACTCTAAGAAAGAAGTCATACCCACTGGGCGTGGTGGTACATGCCTGTAATCTCGGCAGTTTGGGAGGCCAAGGTGGGCTGATCACCTGAGGCCAGGAGTTCGACACCAGCCTGGCCAATATGGTGAAACTCTGTCTCTACTAAATATACAAAAATTTAGTTGTGCATGTGGTGGCATGTGCCTGTAATCGCAGCTACTTGGGAGGCTGAAACATGAGAATCACTTGATCCGGGAGGCAGAAGTTGCAGTGAGCCGAGACGGTGCCATTGCCCTCTGGTCTGGGTGAAAGAGCAAGATTCTGTCTCCAAAAATAATAATAATATAATAATAATAATAATAATAATAATAAAATTTTAAAAAAGAAAGAAAAAGAAAGAAATAAGTCATACAATGAGTGTGGCATTAGCCCCTTAACAAGAGTCCTTGATGTTTGCAGATGTCCTGCAACTCTGAATTCCCATTATGTTTTAAATTATTATTGCTTCCCTAGCACCCATCTGGGCTGCTATCAGCAGAGGCTTATCACTTCCAGGAAATAATAAATATAGAGATACATGAATTATTTGGAAGCTCCAATTCTGACTTCATGCATATTTCTCCATAATAAAATAATGGAGTGAAGCATTAAAAAGAATTCCACTGAAGCAAATATCTTTAAATAGATTATTTCCCACAAAGAATCAGTGGGTGCTGATGTTCCCTTGTTGGCTATAAAATCACTGGGAGAGAAATTACAATTACAGCAATCACAACATAGTTTAACCTTATGAACTTAGATACTGAGAAAAAAATGAAAAAAAAAAAACCTTTTAAAAGACCATCTTTAAGAAAGGAACACAATTGAGATTTCCATTCACAGCAGCTTTCAGCTACTTCACTCTCTCTCTAGAAGGGGCTCCACAGTGTCTATGGATACCCTTCAAGGCATAACCGTATGCTTTTCTATTCATGGATTTTAGGGATTGAATATGTTATCAATCAAAAGAGTCACTGTAGTTTCATTGCTTCTAGAATCTCCTGAGGCATTGTATACAGCTGCATTCAAAGAAAATGAACTGTTATAAACTTGATCATATTCATCCCTTGGGCTCATCTGATTACGAAATTGCCCAATGAGCTGTTACGGTATTTTCAACTAATTAGTTAACCCATACATCAGGATTTCTTTCCTTATTTTCTTTTTTGCCTTTAAGTATATATTTTCCTTTTCTTTCATAGTTTACTTGTCTCAGTGTTTACTGTGTGGCCAGAACACTCAATCACATCACTAAACGTACCCTTTCTCATATCATTCTTCATGTGATGGAAATAAATGGTGCACATTTCTCTTGCCATTTTATTGATTTTAAATCTGAGACATTAAAGAGCAATGTGATTCAATTGGGAAACTCAGAGAGCTACGCTTGACTCCCAGAGCAGACCTAATCAATGGGTGCAGATCCAAGGTTCCTTCTGGACATAATTATGCTGAAGAAAAGGAACAGAGATGCATTTTCAATAAAAGAAATTGTCATATAAAGGTTCAAGTGAATTCTTCAGAAAGTGTATTTCTGCCTTTGTGCAAATTTCTTCATAGAATTAAGAAATGAAGCATTAAAGAAAGGATTCAACAGAACCCAAGCATTATGGATGGACTGTGTCCCTCTAGTTCATATGTTGGAGCCTTAACCCCCAATGTGACTATCCTATATTTTGATATAGAGCCTTTAATGACACAGTTAAGGTTAGTGAGGTCATAAGAGATGGTCTTTGATCAGATAGGATTGACGTCCTTATAAGAATTGGAAGAGATACCCAGAACTCCTGCTCTCTCCTTTCCCCCACCACCCCAGCCATGAGCATACAGAAGAAAGGCCATGTGAGAATGCATTGAGAAGACAGCTATCTGTAAGCCAGGGAAAGGACCTTCAGCAGTTTACAAGCCTGACAACACCTTGATCTTGGACTTCTGGCTTCCAGTGCTGTGTGAAAATAACGTTTAGATTGTTTAATTCACTCAGTCTGCAGTATTTTGCTATGTCAGTCCTGGCAGACAAATACAAGTATCTCCAAATAGATTATTCCACAGGACAGCAAGCATGGTTTTCCTAATAAAAAGAAAGAGGGAGTGAGAGGTAGAAGAAGTATATAATTTCAAAATAAGTAAATAGAAATGAAGTAAGAGCCAAAATGGTTTATACATGTTATATTCTTGCCAGGATAATAGTAAGAATAGGGTGCTGTATATTACTGCCTGTTTCACTCAAGTCAGCAGTGAAAACAAAGGGCTGTGATGGCACATGTCACAGAGCTTTTCAGAATCCAGCATACTTCTCTGGTGTGTTTTAACTGCCTGCAAATGACACCATCCTCTTCTTTTGTGCATTTTGAATGAGATGCTGTGATGGACAGCATGATAATGGCCAAAAAGCTCTTGCTGCATTCTGGGGCTGTTAACTAGTTTAGAGAAGCCTGGGTGCCTGGGAGGTCACGAGCCACCAAGGGACAATAGTTACATCATGAGTTCACACTGTTACATATGGAATGAAGTTATGTTTAATCTGCTATCAGATGCTGAAGCGGATTTTTATGTAGAGTTAAAAACATTCCAATAAAATGGCAAGTGCGGAAGTTGCAAAGGTGTGTAAAAGTAAAGAATATGATTGCTAGAATTAGATCTATATAAATGCATATCCCAATAAGATATATTTGACTTCATGGAAAAAATTCTACTGTATAAAGGAGTTTAGACATCAAATAATTTAAATGATGAGAATAATGTTTGTGATGCCCACAGTGATTATCATTGGCATAATTCAGAAAGAGCAAATTAGAATTAGGTTTTGTAGTTACACATGTGTAACCCAAGGGTCTCCAGATCCCCTAGCCTTTTTGGGATACCTTTCCCTTGACTAGATGTAAATGTGCTCATTTTATGGGAGATGCAACATTCATCAAAGTGTTGTGCAGGATTCCTTGGGAGGAGGAGTTGTTATTTTCCATGCCCTTTTTGCTACTCTATGTTCTCAATTCTCTCTCACCATCTCATTTCTTTCAGCTGCTGTTCTATGCACATGTCTCTGGCAGCTAGCTACGATAAGTGGACAGAGGCCATTTCTTCTATATTCATTAAAATAACTAACACAAAACTTCTGCTCAAAGTAGAATTTTCATTAAATAAGTGGTAGTAATAAAAGGGAAATATCAATAACAAAAGAGGAAGAAATTTACAATCTGATAGTTTTGTGTTGGTTACTCTTGCAGCAAGGAATTTTCTCTGAGCAAATTTCTTCTTAGGCCCTGGCCTGTCCCATATTGCTGACTTGTTTTTTTTTTAGTCAGTCCTTTCTTCTCTCATCTCCTTTTCAAGTCTTCCAATGTTTCACTTATGCAGCTGGAAGATAACTACCAAATCCCAATTGTTGTATTATACATAGCAATTTAGCTCTAACTATTTTCTTATCCAGTCTAGCCCAAAAACATATTCTTTTAATTCAGTAAAATTACTTTTTTGGGATGTACAATTTTATGCATATGTGTGTGTGTGGGTGGTGCATATCTGTGTGTATGTACGTATGCATGTGCACACACACACACAAAACTATAGTCAGGATAGCACTACAGTCAGGATACAAAGCAATTTCATCACCCCAAAAACTCTCTTGTGCTATTTCTTTATCGGTACCCCTTCCCCATCCCTAAGTCCTGTCAACTATTGATCTATTCTCCATCACTATGTCTTTTTGAGAATGTCATTTAAATGGAATTGTATTGGTCTGTTCTCACACTGCTGATAAAGACATACTCAAGACTGTGTAATTTACAAATAAAAAGAGGCTTAATGGACTCACAGTTACATATGGCTGGGCAGGTCTCACAATCATGGCAGAAGTGAAAGGCACATCTTACATGGTGGCAGGCAAGAGTGAATGAGAGCCAAGCAAAAGGGGAAACCCCTTATAAAATTATCAGATCTTGTGAGACTTATTCACTACCATGAGAACAGTATGGGGGAAAACAGCCTCCATTATTCAATTACCTCCCACCAGTCCCTCCCACAACACATGGGAATTATGGAAGCTACAATTCAGGGTGAGATTTGGGTGGGGACACAGCCAAACCATATCATTCCATCCCTGGGCCTCCCAAATCTCATGTCCTCACAATTCAAAACCAATCATGCCTTCCCAACAGTCCCCCAAAGTCTTAACTCATTTCAGCATTAACTCAAAAGTCCATAGTCCAAAGTCTTATTTGAGACAAGGTAAGTCTCTTCCACCTATGAGCATGTAAAATCAAAAGCAAGCTAGTTACTTCCTAGATACAATGAGGGTACAGGCATTGGGTAAATACAGCCATTCTAAATGGGAGGAATTGGCCAAAACAAAGGGGCTACAGGCCCTATGCAAGTCTGATATCCAGTGGGGCAGTCAAGTCTTAAAGCTCCAAAATGACCTCCTTTGACTTCATGTCTCATCTCACATCCAGGTCATGCTGATGCAAGAGGTAGGTTCCCATGGTCTTGGGCAGCTCTGCCCCTGTGGCTTTGCAGGGTACAGACCCCTCCTGGCTTCTTTCACATTGAGTGTCTGCAGCTTTTGCAGGAACATGGTGCAAGTTGTCAGTGGATCTACCATTCTGGGGTCTGGAGGATGGTGACTGTCTTCTCACAGCTTTACTAGGCAGTGCCCCAGAGGGCACTCTTTGTGGGGTCTTCAACCCCACATTTCCCTTCTATACTGCCCTAGCAGAGGTTCTCCATGAGGGGCCTGCCCCTGCAGCAAACTTCTGCCTGGACATCCAGGCATTTCAGTACATCCTCTGAAATCTAGGTGGAGGTTCCCAAACTTCAATTCCTGGCTTCTGTGTACTTGCAGGCTTGATACCATGTGGAAGCCAACAGCACTTGGAGCTTGCACCCTCCGAAGCCATGCCTTGAGGTTTACCTTGGCTCCTTTTAGCCAGGGCTAAGATGCAGGGTACCAAGTCCTGAGGCTGCTCACAGCAGGAGGGACTTGGGGCTGGCTCACGAAACCATTTTTTCTTTCTAGGTCTCTGGGCCTGTGATGGGAGGGACTGCCACAAAGGTCTCTGACATGCCCTCAAGACATTTTCCCCATTGTCTTGGCAATTAACATTTGGTTCCTCATTACTTATGCAAATATCTGCAGCCCGCTTGAATTTCTCCTCATAAAATTGGTTTTTATTTTCCATCACATCATCAGGTTGCAAATTTTCTGAACTTTTATGGTCTGTTTCCCATTTAAAACTGAATGCTTTGTTACAGCACCCAAATCACCTCTTGAATGCTTTGCTGCTTAGAAATTTCTTCCACCAGATACCCAAAATCATCCCCTTCAAGTTCAAAGTTCCACATATCTCTAAGGCAGGGGCAAAATGCCACCAGTCTCTTTACTGTTTTAACAAGAGTCACCTTTGCTCCAGTTCCCAAGTTCCTCATCTCCATTTGAGACCACTTCAGCCTGGATTCCATTGTCCATTATCAGCATTTTGGTCAAAGCCATTTAACAAGTCTCTACGAAGTTCCAAACTTTCCCACATTTTCCTGTCTTCTTCTGAGCCCTCCAAATGGTTCCAACCTCGGTCTGTTACCCAGTTCCAAAGTTGCTTCCACATTTTTGGTTATCTTTACAGCAATGCCCCACTCCACTGGTACCACTTTACTGTATTAGTCTGTTCTCACACTACTGATAAAGACATACCTGAGACTGGGTAATTAATAAAGAAAAAAGGTTTAATGGACTCACAGTTCCATGTGGCTGGGGATGCCTCACAATCATGGTGGAAGGTGAAAGGCATGTCTTGCATGGTGGCAGGCTAGAATGAATAAGAGCCAAGTGAAAGGGGAAACCCCTTATATAGTAATCAGATCTTGTGAGACTTATTCACTACCACGAGAACATTTGGGGGAAACTGCCCCAAATGATTCCATTATCTCTCACTAGGTCCCTCCCACAACATGTGGGAATTATGGGAGCTACAATTCAAGATGAGATTTGGATGGGGACACAGGCAGACAATATCAGGAATTATAGATTATATTAATATAATATTTTGAGACTTTTTTTATATTCAGCATAATGCCTTGAAATTCATCTAAGTTGTTGCATAAATTAATAGTTTGAGCTTTTTATTGCCAAATAATATTCCAATGCATAGATGTATCATAGTTTTTCAGTTCATATGTTAAAGGATATTTTCATTGTTTCCAGTTTAGGATGGTTATAAAAACTACTATAAAAATTTGCTTCTGTGTGAAGATAAATATTTATTTCTCTAAAATAAATACCCAGTGGTGGGATCACTGGGTCATGTGATAAGTGAATATGTAGCTTTATTTTTTTAAAAACTGCCAAACTGTTTTCCAAAGTGGTTATACTATTTTCGTATTCACGCCAACAATGTATGGAAGTTCCAGTTGCTCTGCATCCTCAACAGCACTCAGTGTTGTCAGAATTATTTTTAAGTCATTGAAAAAGGTATGTAATGGCATCTCATCACGGATTTAAATTGTATTTCCCTAACAGCTAATGATTTCAAACAGTTTTTCAAGTGCTTATTAGACATCCTTATACCTTTTTTGGTGAAATATCCACTCAAATTTTTTGCCCATTTAAAAACTGGTAAATTGGGCTGCTTTCTTTGCAATAAGTTTTGAGGTGTCTTTATACTTTTAAATTGGTCCCATGTACAATATTTTCTGAAGAGTAATCTCAAAAAAACAGTGATTCTGATATTTTTCTTCATTACCATTATCTCTAAAACTTCTAGCACAACAGAAATAAACCTGCTACTTTCTAAACCTGTATCTGTTGTGTTCATCTTTATCCTTTTACTTGGCTCTGCTTCTATCCTTAACCTTCTATTATGTATTTTCTTTTTGGTATCTCCAGACCTGCTTTTGCATAATCCATTCTTTCCATTAATTTATACATGTTGAAGTCTCTGTATTTAATTTTTAAGAAGAAGCTAATCTATGACTCCTCTCTAAATTACTACCTGTCTACTTTCCATTGCTACTCTGCTTCTTGAAAAATGTTCTATATTTGCTAACTTACCCTGTCAATATCCAACCTGGACTCTTCTTTCATTATCATTCTGAAAATATTCTCACAATTGTCACCAGTGACCCCAGTTGCCTCTAATGGTGGCCTCTTTGTGTTCATTTTATTTACCTTTGTGATACTATGGCATTTTTGCCCACCACTTTTCTCCAGATAATAACATCATGCACACAAAAAAATCTTTATCATTATAGTCACAGAGAAAGGTAAAGTAATATATATTTTTGGAAGCAGATTATTTTATTATGTTTTTTGGAAAAAAGTATAAGAAATTTCATGAGAATAAAGGATGCGGAAACACTCTGAATTTAGCATCCACATATAATTTAACTGGGTTATTTATATAACATGAAAGAAATTTGTATTCATAGTATCTTGTTTCATTTGAGTTCTGCCTTATTTTTGAAATATGTGAATTCGTCTACTAGTCTTTCAGTGCTCCATTTTCATAATTTGTAAAATAGAGATAAAAATAGTAGTTGACTCCCAAATTTTTTGCAAACATTATGTGAGATGGTGGACACAAAGCATTTAGTAGAGTATCTGAAATATAGAGTAATTAATAAATCAACTAGTTTTTAAAAATCCTTTCCCTCCACATTTCTGTAATTAAATTTTAAAACTGAATTTTAAAGACAAAGCAATTTATTCAGCTTGAAATATCATTCAGTTTTAATACTGGAAGCTTATAAAACAAATTTACGGAGCTTTAGGCACAGTTTTTCTTTTGATTGTGCATGTCTGAACACAGAGTTGATGATCTGTGGTGTGTCTCTTACCTAATTTGGGTAAATAATCTCCTTGTGTCTCTGCAGAGAACCTTCACACAAGGCAGATATATGGAGTTTAACCAAGTCAATGGGATTCTGCCCTATGAGTGTAATCTTACTGATACAGCATCATGAAGAATTAGTTCAACCATTACTTGGAGTGCTAATTAACAGCAAGCTAATACAAAATGTCTCTGCTTAATCATCTTTTCTTTATTAAAAATCAGTTACTTATAACAAATTATTGCACAAGAGCTTGTGCATATAGTTTAGTTCCCAAGGTTTCCCTTGATCTTTCTTTCCACATAATTCTATAAAACATTCTGCATTAACAACTTAAGGTATTATTGATTTATTCTCTATTATGCACTATACATTAAAATACTTTCATTTTATCTTGCTTTCTTCCATAAACTCTATTGCCCAAATAATATAGTTAAGAGCCTTTTGCATAATACACATCAAGGTTTTCTTTATTTTTGTTGTTGAATATCCATCTATGCTCTTATAATTCCAGTTTTGCAAAGAAACAAGGGTTATTAACCAGATTCAACTATAATGACTCTTCTTTGGACAATCTTTTGGCAACAGCAAAGAAGTAAACCATGGAAAATGAATCTATTAGAATCATCATACTTAGGAAATAACATGGTTATAGCTAATTATAATAATGTCTCTTGGTAATGTCTTGATTTTTATACTGGAACTCATAGTAGAAAATTGCTCAATGTTCCTATTTGTCTTCATCCACTAAAGATGGAACAGTTATTTCAAACTGACTTTTGTGTGCTTATGCAGTATTGTGTATGTGGGTGTAGAGAGGATGCAGTCTTCTTTCTTTCTAAAAATGTTATATGGCATATGTTTATGTAAAAATTGTTTTCAGTGTAAGTTTGGTTTGTTTTTTAAAGTTATACAAAGATTCTTATGATATATGGCATAATCTCTGAGTCAATTAAAATCTTCAAGTTTTAATTAGTGTTAATGTTGGTTTCAAAATTTGCACAATGGAATTTAGTTCCTTGTTTCAGTGAAAATGTCTTTGTTATGTAATAAATTTCATCCATGCTTATTGTAAAATATTTAAACAATACAGAGTAGATGAAACCAATGGGTTTTATTATATCAATTGGAGATAATAGTATATGGCTCTATCTATGTCCACACATTAAAGTTGATGAACTGCAGTAGGAATGTTCTTACCATTTAGCTGCTCCCTCAGATATGAAAAACTCAAGTGGGCAATATTGATTTGAAATTAAAGGTACCTCACCTAGGTAGTAGGGATCTCAGGTCAAACCTTCTCTACCCCTTCTTTTTCAAAATTTAATGTGTATATTTATCACTCTGGGATCTTGTTCAATGAAAGATTGTGATTCAATATGTTTGGAGTAGCGTCTGAAATGCTGTGTTTCTAACAGGCTCCCAGGTATACTGATACTGCGCTATTAAATGGGGGAAAGAACTACACAGAGGGAAAATGAAAAAGTAGTTTACAAAAGGTGAGGGAAGGGACTTCCCTGACCTCTACTGAAAAATAGAAAGCAAGAAATATTGAAAGCTAGTAATGCTCTTGCTATGCTTGAGGTATTTCTTTTATTTTTGTTGCTGTTCTATTTTGCTTTGTTTTCCCAGAATGGTTTGTTATTTGTGAGCAGTTGTCTGGAAACGATAGGAAATTCTTTTATATTGTATACATGAATACGCTACAAAGCTTTTCATTAGGCACTGATTTATCTAAATTTCTTTAAAACTATTGAAAAGGAGCCAAACTCAGAGTTTGAACTATCCAAACATTTCAAATAGTCAGAAAATCAGAGGGTCTTTCACTTATAAACACAAGGACTTGCTTAATAGACTTTGTTTTGCATGAGGTTACTGCATAATTCACTCTCTAGTAGAATTTAGAGAAAGATATGTTCTACCCTTCTCTGTAGGAAAGTTTTAAAGAAAAAATAATCAACAGTACCTTTCAAATACCACAAAACTACAGGAACATCAGAATGTCATCATCTATGGCAGACACATTCCATGTGCTTTCTATGCTAAGCATATCTCTGATGAGATGTAGGAGAGAATGTAAGGGGCACCCTGCTTGGGATTTTTGTTAAACGATTTGTGAGAAACAGCGCATTTGCCTCCCACACAGCCCACATCCTGGGCCTTCGTATTTCAAAGATGAGTAAATAGTAAATAAATACATAGAAAACGAATAAGAAAGGAAATGAACATATGCTGACAAAAACAAATTTAACCAATATACATACATTAAATAAATCAATTACTAGCACTGTCATTTCTAAAAAGAAATTACATGACAACACAAAAATGTAGATAGGGAAAATGTCTAGTATGGTATAATACCAAAACTCAACCAGCCTAGTATCTTTCACTTATACATAAATTGTTCTTCTTGAACCATGTAAAAGATTTATGCTTTATCTTTGCCTATTTTTATTGGTTTGTTTGTACATTTGTTTGTGTTTTCCAAATGGAATATAACTAACTGGTTATATTCCTGGTAAATGCTTAATTACAGACCATAGTTCCAGAATAACACATCAGGAACTTTTGTTTGTTAAAGTGGTCAAATGGCTAAACTTTCTTTACTCATTTTAGAATTAAGGCTATGGATATTCTAGAAAACTAAAAGTTAGCATAGTTTGTGGTATAAATCGTAAATTCAGGGAGAAAGAGTTATGGATTTTATATTTTTTTCTTTATAATGAAGGTCTCTTCAGAACACTTTTCTAAATCAATAATAAAATAAATTTATCATTAATAAAATGTACGCACAAAGACCAACATCTTCCATGGAGCCTTATGCATCACCTTGTTAGAGAATCCCAGAGTCATGCTTACCTGGAGGATGTTGGCATTTCTCAAGTTAACCATGAACCTCAACTGCATTATGAAATATTAATGCTAAATCATGTTCTCAGTTGTTGTTATACTGGCTCCTTCTTAAAACTTCTTCTGCAAAGAATACAGGCACTTTCAAAAGGGTAAAGAAAATGTCATTGCAATTTTTTCACTGATAAATGTATTATATGTATATTTAATTAGTCATCATTTGAGTTATCTGAAGTAATAATTATGCAATAATGTTTCGTTCATATAAGAATAGATCCCTTGAGGTCTCATAAAATATGATCCAATTTAAAGTATATTAAATATATTTATCTTCCCAGAATAAGAAAACATACCACAAAACCTAAGCTTAAAGCAAAGGCCTGTTAAAGAAATTAGGCTTTAGAATAAAATTCAACTCTACATGCTCAATGTAAAAGATAACTAAAAGTAAAACTGGAGGAAGAAGAATAAACACTGACATTCTTTTACAGAATAGTTTTTCGATATGAGGAAAATAAATAAAATAATATTATATGTTTTAAATAAATTATGATATTTGAAGCACACATTTAAAAATGATAACCCATTTGGTTCCATTATTATGAAACTTATAAAAATCAGTAAATTTTTGAATAAGAATAAGGTGGTACAATGACTATTATTTGGCTGGATTTAGCATCTAGGTCAGTGCTGGGCATTTGGTACTTATTCTTTAAATGCTGAATGAACATATGAATTAAAAAGGCAACAGCGTCGTTGAGCTTCTGACTTATCTGTAGTGGTTCTGAGTGTATGGATATAACATTATATAAATGATCTGGAATTTAAAGTTGATTTTCAAAGTTTATTTATTTATTTACTTTTATTATTATTATTATTTTTTGAGATGGAGTCTTGCTCTGTCACCCAGGCTGGAGTGCAGTGGCGTGATCTCAACTCACTGCAAGCTCCGCCTCCCGGGTTCACGCCATTCTCCTGCCTCAGCCTCCCAAGTAGCTGGGACTACAGGCACCCACCACCAGGCCTGGCTAATTTTTTGTATTTTTTAGTAGAGACGGGGTTTCACCATGTTAGCCAGGATCGTCTCGATCTCCTGAGACCTCGTGATCCACCAGCCTCGGCCTTCCAAAGTACTGGGATTACAGGCGTGAGCCGCCGCGCCCCGCCGATTTTCAAAGTTTAAAGACTTAAGATGAGCATGTAGATACACCTATTCATAAGGAAAATATTATACAATTTGTAAGAGTGGAATTGACAAAGTAGGGAAGTAATGTATTGCTGTTATCAAAAACTTAGGGAATTTTCAGTCCATAATATATATCATGTGATAGGTGTTTTTATGTCTATATCCAGTAAACTACATAAGCAAATGTATGTACATTGCAAAATTAAAAATTCAGAATTTGTTTAGAAAAGTTGATCACATGGTAAACTCCACATTAAAAAGAGACAAAGGAAGCAAAATAAGAAAAGCAATTCCTGCATTCTCGAGTAGGGTAAGAAGTGGTTTATTGCCAACAGAAATATCAACTATAAGATGTATGTATATATTATTCCCTAGGACATATAGATTGGTTTGCTAAAAACAGCAATCATATAAATCATAAAGTCCTCAACTAGCACAGCTTTTGAATGCAAAGTGAGAGATTTTTTGCCATGAGAAAACATTTCTAATTTCATCTGGGTCAGAGGTTACCTTTCCAAAGCAGCTTTGTTATAAGAATGTACCTTGAAGAAAACTTTACAGGGAACATGAAAGCAATTTGTCACAATGCAAAGACTGCTTATAGACTGATACTGCATTTTGATACACGGCCTACTGATGTGTAATAATATATATTAAACTTTGGATGAAAGTGGCTAGAAAGATTGAAATCACTCTTACAGATTACTTCTACATGATACAGGCATAATATATGTCAAGAATAATAATAGATATATCAATCAATATTTTATTTCAAACAATATTGCTTTTTTATTATTATATTTTAAGTGGCCATATATCTAATATCAAGTATTTAAATATAAACTAAATCTATATCATATATTACTATACTAGACTTTTTATAAAATTTGTAAAATTTTTTTTTTTTTTTTTTTTTTTGAGATGGAGTCTCACTCTGTCGCCTAGTCTGGAGTGCAGTGGTGTGATCTCGGCTCACTGCGAGCTCTGCCTCCTGGGTTCACGCCATTCTCCTGCCTCAGCCTCCCGAGCAGCTGAGACTACAGGTGCCCGCCACCACGCACACCTAATTTTTTGTATTTTTAGTAGAGACAGGGTTTCACCATGTTAGCCAGGATGGTCTCGATCTCCTGACCTCGTGATCCGCCCGCCTTGGCCCCCCCAAAGTGCTGGGGGGGGGGTGCAAAATGTTTTATTTATAATTACCAGCAGCAATCAGGTAAGCAGAGTGTTTTTGTAAAGAATTCTAAAGGGTCAATTCATACTTACTAATTTTATTTTCAAGTAGATCAGGAATCAGCAAAATTGTTTTAAGGGGCCAGATACTACATATTTTAGGTTTCCAGGCTGAAGGCAAAATTAAGGATAAAATGCAGATCCTCGTATAACAAGAAAAATTCTTGCTAGTATTATAGATGAAACACAAAATAGAAATCAAGTACAATTTGATAATTATTTTATTAACATTTTATGTAATCAGTGTTCAAAGTTGTGCTCATCATAAATAATTGCTCATCTGTTAATGCTGATCTGAAACGAGATTTTACAGATTTTGTCTTTGAAATAGCTTTTCACATTTAAGAGAACTGCCAAATACTGATATCAATCCATTAGCATATAATTTCAATTGTACAAATTTATCCCTTAAAAGGCAGATAGAATTCTGTCAGACTATTTTCTTAATATTTGTATTTTATTATGTCATTGCTTTACAGAGTAATCATTTCCAGTTGAAAAGTTAGGTGGCAGTGAGGGTGGAGCCAAGATGGTCGAATAGGAGCAGCTCCAGTCTACAGCTCCCAGCGTGAGCGACGGAGAAGATGGGTGATTTCTGCATTTCCGACTGAGGTACCAGGTTCATCTCACTGGGGAGTGTCAGACAGTGGGTGCAGGACAGTGGGTGCAGTGCACCGAGTGTGAGCCAAAGCAGGGTGAGGCATCACCTCACCTGGGAATTGCAGGGGGTCAGGGAATTCCCTTTCCTAGTCAAAGAAAGGGGTGACAGACGGCACTTGAAAAATCGGGTCACTCCCACCCTAATACTGTGCTTTTGCAATGGTCTTAGCAAATGGCACACCAGGAGATTATATCCGGTGCCTGGCTCAGAGGGTCCTAGCCCACGGAGCCTTGCTCATTGCTAGCACAGCAGACTGAGATCAAACTGCAAGGTGGCAGCAAGGCTGGGGGAGGGGCGCCCGCTATTGCCGAGGCTTGAGTAGGTAAACAAAGCGGCCGAGAAGCTCGAACTGGGTGGAGCTGACTGCAGCTCAAGGAGGACTGCCTGCCTCTGTAGACTCCACCTCTGGGAGCAGGGCATAGGCAAACAAAAGGCAGCAGAAACCTCTGAAGACTTGAATATCCCTGTCTGACAGCTTTGAAGAGAGTAGTGGTTCTCCCAGCACCCAGCTGGAGATCTGAGAACAGACAGACTGCCTCCTCAAGGGGGTCCCTGACCCCCAAGTAGCTTAACTGGGAGGCACCCCCCAGTAGGGGCAGACTGACACCTCACACGGCGGGGTACTCCTCTGAGACAAAATTTCCAGAGGAAAAATCAGGCAGCAACAATTGCTGTTCACCAATATCCACTGTTCTGCAGCCTCCGCTGCTGATACCCAGGCAAACAGGGTCTGGAGTGGACCTCCAGCAAACTCCAACAGACCTGCAGCTGAGGGTCCTGACTGTTAGAAGAAAAACTAACAAACAGAAAGGACATTCACACCAAAACCCCATCTGCACGTCACCATCATCAAAGACCAAAGGTAGATTAAACCACAAAGATGGGGAAAAAACAGAGCAGAAAAACTGGAAACTTTAAAAATCAGAGTGCCTCTCCTCCTCCAAAGGAACACAGCTCCTCACCAGCAATGGAACAAAGCTGGATGGAGAATGACTTTGACGAGTTGAGAGAAGAAGGCTTCAGATGATCAAACTAATCTGAGCTAAAGGAGGAAGTTCAAACCCATGGAAAAGAAGTTAAAAACCTTGAAAAAAAGTAGACGAATGGCTAACTAGAATAACCAATGTGGAGAAGTCCTTAAAGGACCTGATGGAGCTGAAAACTAAGGCACGAGAACTACGTGGCGAATGCACAAGCCTCAGTAGCTGATTCGATCAACTGGAAGAAAGGGTATCAGTGATGGAAGATCAAATGAATGAAATGAAGTGAGAAGAGAAGTTTAAAGAAAAAAGAATAAAAAGAAATGAACAAAGCCTCCAAGAAATATGGGACTACGTGAAAAGACCAAATCTACATCTAATTGGTGTACCTGAAAGTGACGAAGAGAATGGAATCAAGTTGGAAAACACTCTAAAGGATATTATCCAGGAGAACTTCCCCAATCTGGCAAGGCAGGCCAACATTCAAATTCAGGAAATACAGAGAACGCCACAAAGATACTCCCTGAGAACAGCAACTCCAAGACACATAATTGTCAGATTCACCAAAGTTGAAATGAAGGAAAAAATGTTAAGGGCAGCCAGAGAGAAAGGTCGGGTTACCCACAAAGGGAAGCCCATCAGACTAACAGCTGATCTCTCGGCAGAAACTCTACAAGTCAGAAGAGAGTGGGGACCAATATTCAACATTCGTAAAGAAAAGAATTTTTAACCCAGAATTTCATATCCAGCCAAACTAAGCTTCATAAGTGAAGGAGAAATAAAATCCTTTACAGACAAGCAAATGCTGAGAGATTTTGTCACCACCAGGCCTGCCCTACAAGAGCTCCTGAAGGAAGCACTAAACATGGAAAAGAACAACCAGTACCAGCCACTGCAAAAACATGCCAAATTGTAAAGACCATCGAGGCTAGGAAGAAACTGCATCAACTAATGAGCAAAATAACCAGCTAACATCATAATGACAGGATCAAATTCACACATAACAATATTCACCTTCAATGTAAATGGGCTAAATGCTCCAATTAAAAGACACAGACTGGCAAATTGGATAAAGAGTCAAGACCCATCGGTGTGCTGTATTCAGGAAACCCATCTCACGTGCAAAGACACACATAGGCTCAAAATAAAGGGATGGAGGAAGATCTACCAAGCAAATGGAAAACAAAAAAAGGCAGGGGCTGCAATCTTAGTCTCTGATAAAACAGACTTTAAACCAACAAAATCAAAAGAGACGAAGAAGGCCATTACATAATGGTAAAGGGATCAATTCAACAAGAAGAGCTAACTATCCTAAATACATATGCACACAATACAGGAGCACCCAGATTCATAAAGCAAGTCCTGAGAGACCTACAAAGAGACTTAGACTCCCACACAATAATAACGGGAGATTTTAACACCCCACTGTCAACATTAGACAGATCAATGAGACAGAAAGTTAACAAGGATATCCAGGAATTGAACTCAGCTCTGCACCAAGCAGACCTAATAGATATCTACAGAACTCTCCACCCGAAATCAGCAGAATACACATTCTTTTCAGCACCACACTACACCTATTCCAAAATTGACCACATAGTTGGAAGTAAAGCACTCCTCAGCAAATGTAAAAGAAGAGAAATTATAACAAACTGTCTCTCAGACCACAGTGCAATCAAACTAGAACTCAGGATTAAGAAACTCACTCAAAACCGCTCAACTACATGGAAACTGAACAACCTGCTCCTGAATGACTACTGGGTAATAACAAAATGAAGGCAGAAATAAAGATGTTCTTTGAAACCAATGAGAGCAAAGACACAACATACCAGAATCTCTGGGACACATTCAAAGCAGTGTGTAGAGGGAAATTTACAGCACTAAATGCCCACAAGAGGTAGCGGGAAAGATCTAAAATTGACACCCTAACATCACAATTAAAAGAACTAGACAAGCAAGAGCAAACACATTCAAAAGCTAGCAGAAGGCAAGAAATAACAAAGATCAGAGCAAAACTGAAGGAGATAGAGACACAAAGAACCTTCAAAAAATCAATGAATCCAAGAGCTGGTTTTCTTGAAAAGATCAACAAAATTGATAGACTGCTAGCAAGACTAATAAAGAAGAAAAAAGAGAAGAATCAAATAGATGCAATAAAAAATGATAAAGGGGATATCACCACCGATCCCACAGAAATACAAACTACCATCAGAGAATACTATAAACACCTCTATGCAAATAAACTAGAAAATCTAGAAGAAATGGATAAATTCCTCGACACATACACTTCCCAAGACTAAACCAGGAAGAAGTTGAATCTCTGAATAGACCAATAACAGGAGCTGAAATTGTGGCAATAATCAATAGCTTACCAACCAAAAAGAGTCCAGGACCAGATGGATTCACAGCCGAATTATACCAGAGATACAAGGAACAGCTGATACCTTTCCTTCTGAAACTATTCCAATCAACAGAAAAACAGGGAATCCTCTCTATCTCATTTTATGAGGCCAGCATCATCCTGATACCAAAGCCTGGCAGAGACACAACAAAAAAAGAGAATTTTAGACCAATATCGCTGATGAACATCGATGCAAAAATCTCAGTAAAATACTGGCAAACCGAATGCAGCAGCACCATCAAAAAGCTTATCCACCATGATCAAGTGGGCTTCATCCCTGGGATGCAAGGCTGGTTCAACATATGCAAATCATAAATGTAATCCAGCATATAAACAGAACCAACGATAAAAACCAAATGATTATCTCAATAGATGCCGAAAAGGCCTTTGACAAAATTCAACAGCCCTTCATGCTAAAAACTCTCAATAAATTAGGTATTGATGGGATGTATCTCAAAATAATAAGAGCTATCTATGACAAACCCACAGCCAATATCATTCTGAATGGGCAAAAACTGGAAGCATTCCCTTTGAAAACTAGCACAAGACAGGGATGCCCTCTCTCACCACGCCTGTTCAACATAGTGTTGGAAGTTCTGGCCAGGGCAATTAGGCAGGAGAAGGAAATAAAGGGTTTTCAATTAGGAAAAGAGGAAGTCAAATTGTCCCTGTTTGCAGATGACATGATTGTATATCTAGAAAACCCCATCGTCTCAGCCCAAAATTTCCTTAAGCTGATAAGCAACTTCAGCAAAGTCTAAGCATACAAAGTCAATGTGCAAAAATCACAAGCATTCTTATACACCAATAACAGACAAACAGAGAGCCAAATCATGAGTGATCTCCCATTCACAATTGCTTCAAAGAGAATAAAATACCTAGGAATCCAACTTACAAGGGATGTGAAGGACCTCTTCAAGGAGAACTACAAACCACTGCTCAATGAAATAAAAGAGGATACAAACAAATGGAAGAACATTCCATGCTCATGGGTAAGAAGAATCAATATCATGAAAATGGCCATACTGCCCAAGATAATTTATAGATTCAATGCCATCCCCATCGAGCTACCAATGACTTTCTTCACAGAATTGAAAAAAAATACTTTAAAGTTTATATGGAACCAAGAGAGAGCCGACATTGCCAAGTCAATCCTAAGCCAAAAGAACAAAGCTGGAGGTATCACGCTACCTGACTTCAAACTATACTACAAGGCTAGAGTAACCAAAACAGCATGGTACTGGTACCAAAACAGAGATATAGACCAATGGAACAGAACAGAGCCCTCAGAAGTAATGCCAGATATCTACAACTATCTGATCTTTGACAAACCTGACAAAAACAAGAAATGGGGAAAGGATTCCCTATTTAATAAATGGTGCTGGGAAAACTGGCTAGCCATATGTAGAAAGCTGAAACTGGATCTCTTCCTTACACCTTATACAAAAATGAATTCAAGATGGATTAAAGACTTAAATGTTAGACCTAAAACCATAAAAATCCTAGAAGAAAACCTAGGCAATACCATTCAGGACATAGGCATGGGCAAGGACTTCATGTCTAAAACACCAAAAGCAATGGCAGCAAAAGCCAAAATTGACAAATGGGATCTAATTAAACTAAAGACTTCTACACAGCAAAAGAAACTACCATCAGAGTGAACAGGCAACCTACAGAATGGGAGAAAATTTTTGCAGTCTACTCATCTGACAAAGGGCTAATATCCAGAATCTACAATGAACTCAAACAAATTTACAAGAAAAAAACAACCCCACCAACAAGTGGGCAAAGGATATGAACAGACATTTCTCAGGAGAAGACATTTATGCAGCTAAAAGACACATGAAAAAATGCTCATCATCACTGGCCATCAGAGAAATGCAAATCAAAACCACAGTGAGATACCATCTCACAGCAGTTAGAATGGTGATCATTTAAAAGTCAGGAAAGAACAGGTGCTGGAGAGGATGTGGAGAAATAGGAACACTTTTACACTGTTGGTGGGACTGTCAACTAGTTCAACCATTGTGGAAGTCGGTGTGGCGATTCCTCAGGGATCCAGAACTAGAAATACCATTTGCCCCAGGCATCCCATTACTGGGTATATACCCAAAGGATTGTAAATCATGCTGCTATAAAGACACATGCACACATATGTTTATTGTGGCACTATTCACAATAGCAAAGACTTGGAACCAACCCAAATGTCCAACAATGATAGACTGGATTAAGAAAATGTGGCACATATACACCATGGAATACTATGCAGCCATAAAAAATGATGAGATCATGTCGTTTGTAGGGATGTGGATGAAGCTGGGAACCATTATTCTCAACAAACTATTGCAAGGACAAAAAACCAAACACCACATGTTCTCACTCATAGGTGGGAATTGAACAATGAGAACACATGGACACAGGAAGGGGAACATCACACACCAGGGCCTGTTGTGGGGTGGGGGGAGCGGGGAGGGATATCATTAGGAGATATACCTAACGTTAAATGACGAGTTAATGGGTGCAGCACACCAACATGGCACATGTATACATATGTAACAAACCTGCACGTTGTACACATGTACCCTAAAACTTAAAGTATAATAATAAAAAAAAGATACTCTGTGAAAAATAAAATAAAAAAAAAGAAAAGAAAAGTTAGGTGGCAGCTTCTCAATTGGAAAATTAAACAGATTCTGAGATATCAGAATTTCCTCTGTCCTTTCCTAAAGATGAGAAAAATGTAATTGAAGCTGTAGCTTGATCTGGGAAATTATAGATGCTTCAAATAGTGTGGGAATGGAGTTCATTTTGTTTTCACTTTTTCCAACATAAGAAATTTACAGATCAACTCAACATTACTAGGGATTTATATAACATTCGTTATCTAAAGGATATATTGCAGTATAACTTCCATATATAAGCACCATCTTGCCTTGTATATATACAGGTTGAATTCATTAAGAAACATTATCAAGGCCGGGCATGGTGGCTCATGCCTATAATCCCAGCACTTTGGGAGGCCGAGGCGGGCGGATCACGAGGTCAGGAGTTTGAGACCAGCCTGACCAACACGGTGAAACACCATCTCTACTAAAAATACAAAAATTAGCTGGGCGTGGTGGCACGTGCCTGTAATCGCAGCTACTCAGGAGGCTGAGGCAGGAGAATCACTTGAATCCAGGAGGTGGAGGTTGCAGTGAGCTGAGATCGAGTCACTGTACTCCAGCCTGGGTGACAGAGCGAGATTCCATCTCAAAAAAAAAAAAAAAAAAGAAAGAAAGATATAAGAAGCATTATCAAGTCTGTAGCAAAAGCTAATTTCCAAAGTCATTCAGTGGTTGTTAGTACAGGCCAAGGGAAATTCTTTTCATACAGAAAAATATTTTGATCTCTTCCTTAAGCTCAAAAATTTCAAAAAAATTGAGTCCTAACCCATCAAACTGCCATGCAGTAGGACAAGCTCAGGGTATTCATCTTTCATTTCTAGTTGTCTGAACTGTTCACCAGAGTGAATGTAGTTCAGCAATGACAATGCTGGTTTAAATAACAAATGATAGATTAAAATGTTTTATGCAAAGTACTGCTGATGAATAATAAAATGAATAAATAAATAAACAACGTATATTTTCACAAGCTTTGTAAATTTTTTCAAATTAGACTTTTTCTGTTCCACATACTGTCTCAGATTCAATTGAAAGAGATCTTAGCAGATTGTACTTCAGGTTGTAATGAATTCATATTTTCTCAACTTCTTTAAAAATATTCTCATGTATAGTTGTTCCCAGCAGACTATTCATAGGAGATGATTCTTTAGTGACTTCAAACTCAACATTAACTCCTCAAGGAAATAACAGCATTGCTGCCAACTCATCTAAACATACTGGATATTTGCTTTGTTCTTTAGTTGTCTGTTGTTGCTACTGCCAATACCCTCAACTCTTCAAGCAACTGTTCATGTGGAAAAGATAATGGTCTTTACAGTATAAATGTGTAAAATCCATACATAGCTCTCTGGCAGTACAAAACCAGGTGGCAAGCTAGAGATATCTAGCCTATTGGCAGTAGTTAGCTGACACTTGCACTGGATGATAATGATTCTGAGAGATGTACATTTCTGTCAGAGTAGGCCCTCTGTAACATGACTGTTAATTAAAAGTATATATACAGATACATGCATATATTAAAAATATATGTAAAACATATACATAAAGTATATATACATATATACATATATTAAAGTGTGTATACACATATATATGTACACATATAAAAGTGTATATATTTATATATGACAGTATATGTTAATTTTGGTGGGATTTTGTTCTGTATTTGAGTTCCAGTAAACTTAGATATATCTAAAAATGTAAGCCATAAAACTTCTCTTCACGGGACAGGATTATGTGCTGGAGCTAGCTCACACCCTAACTAGCATCAATTGTTCAAATTCTAAAATTTTGAGTTAAAATTCAATTGCATACACTTGTTTGTAATACACTTGTTAGATGAATTTTACTGGAAAAGTAATGGAGACACAAAATTCATTTCTTCCTAATTAGTTGCTACATTTTGCTGTTATCTGTGTTCTTAGAGTTATTTATGTCTATTGTACCTTTTAGGTGGAAAAATATAAAAGAGTGTGCAATTGTGACTCTCTCCAAATCTGTATTCAACGACTACATATTGTAACTTAAAATCGCCTATGATGGGTAATTTAAACACAGAAGTCAGCAAATGCTACAAATCAGGATTTGGTTTATGGCTTTGTTGATTGTCTAGGCTAAGACATTTACGGAGTGAAATGCAATAATGAAGAAGAGATGTAAATACGTGTTGGGTCAGTAGCCATTGCTTTGTGAATAGCACATATACACTCACAAATAATTTTTGAAAACTATTATCCAAATGAGGATAAAAGTCACTCAAGTCAGAGTGAAGTTCTGTTGTCCATCTTCGTTTTTTAATTTCCTCTTTCTTGTTAATACGTATGTTAGAAAATATCAGGAGGCCTGTTGATCATGCCCTGTCCTACCAGTGGCCTCTGAGCTGCCTGCTTGGCACTGCTAAGCTGCCCCTGGATTGGTTACAATGTGGGCTTTTGTCTGGATTACAGGCGGAGGAAGAATGGGGAAGCAGCAAAGCAAGAGCCTTGCTGGAGTTGGCCACTCCTCTGTGCAACAGCCTAAATAGCGCAGCACCCAGGACGCACTAGGCCCTCCATAAATGTCAGCTTAACAGAAAGTGACAATTAATCCAAACCTGAGGCGAGTGAGAGGCGCAGCTGCAGGATCAGTGGGTCCTAGGGCTTCCTGAAACGCAGTCTTGAGGCTCCTGTAGGAAATTTTCTCCCTCTCCCCGCAGGCATGGCTTTTGTACGAGACGGAATGAATGTCAAGCTCAGGTTCAACTCGCGCTTTGGAACCCAGGAGGTATCCTCAGCGAGGCCTGATGGAGGACAGGAGGGGCTGGCCGAGGGTGGAGAGCGAAGGGATCGCCGGAGCGGAGCGAGGGTCTCATCCCCCCTGCAGGACCCTGGCAGACCCACACGTTCCCTCCTTTCGCACAAGTCGGTTGCTGCCCTCTACCCTTTGGCAGGGCATAAGAATGACTTCCGCCGCGGAGATCCAGCGCTTCCTTCCATTTTGCCTCCTGGCCCCTCCTGGAGACCGCAGCCGGTTTCTTGGCAGCTTCGCGCCCCAGAGCAGGAAGGGACCGGGACGCGGTCACATTTCAGCTTTGGTGGCTGCGCCCGCGCCCCCGTACTCCGGGCAGGAGATCTGGGCTGCGGGCGCCAGGCAGAGCTGGCATCTTCCGGGACCTGGATGGTTGTTGCGTAGGGGCTCCCAAGCTAAGCTGGTGTAGGAGCTCTCAAAACTCCCTTTCTGGCATCCCACGGAAAAACACATGAATCAGAAATTCCTCTGCCTGGTCCTTCTGTAGGGGCCGAATGGCTGGGAACTCCCAGGTACTCGCGTGGGGATCATAACCCAGAGACTGCGGGGCGACCCTCGGAGAGAAGCCCCCTGCAGCTGCACTTGGCTTCCTTTTGAGCCCTACTGCCTGTCAGGGACCCCGAAGACTGCGAGGCCAGGGGTACAGACCTGGGGTGTGCTGGCGTCCCCTTTCCATCCCAAAGTGCTATTTTATTTTCCTTTCGCTTCACTCTGGGTCTCAAGCCCTTTCAGTTTCTCAGCAGAGCAGGCCATTTCGTCTGTTCCCAAATATCTTTTAAAAGTTCATTTGTCTCGCAATCTCCCCACAATGCAGAATCTTGTACTTATCCTTTGGTACTATTAAAATAAGATAACATTCACCATTAAATTGGTCCAAAATATCTTTAATGTTAATATTTAGGTCGAGAAGCGTTGATGGCTCTTGCACAGTCTTGTGTACAAGGGAGGGAAAAGTAGTACAACTTCTCTGGAGAATAATTTGACAAAATATGTAAATAACTTTAAAAATACTTTTGAACTTGATCCATCTTTTTCTAGGATCTTTCAAAAAATTATATGAAGTCTTGATAACCTACAAAGATCTTCATCACATTATTATTTGTAAAAGAAAAAAATGAAAACAACTTTATCCACAACAAGAAACATTAGATAAGTTATGATATGTTCATCTTATAGACTATAAGTTGTCATTAAAAAGATTGACTGATGCTGTCAAAGTACAAGAAATAAAAAACATGTAAAAACAGAAACAAAAACAACCACAAAAACAAAAAAACAAGAAACAAACAACAACAAAACCTCTGCTTGTCAAAATATTCAAACCATTTAAAAACAAGCTGGTAAATGGTGAAATTATGTATGGCAAGAGTATCACAGATTTAAAAATAAAACATAAAAGGAAAAATAAAAAAAACACAGCCTCCAAGAAAAGTAAATTAGGTATTTGTACTTAGATTGTTAATATAGAAAGCCCTTTTATCAATGCTAATAACACTCCCAAATATTGTGTACATTATTAAAACCATTCTGGACGACAATTTGTCAAAGTAAGTTTATTCACAATACCTAGTTAGTCATTATTGTCTAGCAGGCACTAGGAAGGTTTCTCTATAGGAGCAGGGTAAGGGGAGAAGGGTTTTGCTATCAGCCCCGTAGGGAATTATATGAATGTAGGGTATTGACAAGTGGGTGGTTTAGCTCCCTCCTTCACATGACTTGATTTGATTAGTGGGAGTGAGCAGACATGAGAATATGTCAATTCAAGTTGAGGCTTTAAGAAGTGTGCTGTCTTCTGCTTGCTCTAGTGTGCTTAGGGTACCCCTCGTGAGAAGAAGATGATTCTGTAGCTATTGTTCAAAATTTTAGCCTGGGCCCTTGAATAAAAAACAAACCAGACTGATGACAGCAAACTTGAAACTCAGACCTAGCAAAGCCCAGAGGAACAAGTGCTGATCAACAGAACTGCAATTAAAAAGTAAATCTTTGTCATCGTAGCCCCTAAGTTTTGAAGGTCACTTGTTATGCATGGGTATTGCACAAAACCTACTTAATACGCATGCACAAGGTAGAACTGTCCTATCCAAATGCCCTGCGCCCCCTTCATCCCCTGCCCTAAAAACACTGGAAAAAGTGAATGAAGAAAAAAGCTACAGTCCCTGACTATGTGGAGATGTGGGATGGATATGTACATCCAACACATAATCGCATACATAGTTATATAATTACAAATTGTCATAAATGGTAGCCAAGAAATTTGGAAAAGCATAGGATGAAAAGAGGAACAGGAGGAATTAATTTCAATTGGGAAATTTAATTGAAATTAATTTCAATTGGAAAATGGGCAGAGTATAAGCAGAAAAGGATTTCAGTTAGAAAGAACAGAGTGAACAAAAGAGAAGAGCAGCGTGGGGCCTTGGAGCTTCTGGTAGGTGGTCAGGGTGCCCAGAGCACAGAGAGCTCTAGATGAGGTCTGGGGGAACAGCAGGGTCCAGCTCACACAGGGCCTTATAGGCCATAATGGGGATTTGGATCTTATGAGAAGCTCAATAAGAGACATAGATATGTATTTCTTTCAAACTAAAATTTATTCATGTAAACATATTAATCTGAAAACTAGAGCAAATTCAGCCCTTGGCATACACAAATGGACATTGAATTTTGAAAATATCCAAAAGTGAGACTGTTCCTATAAAACCATTACTACAGTGCACATTACAGGGGGCTTTTTAAACACCATCAACTGAAATACTATCTATACACTAGCTACAAAATAGAAGAAAAGGGAATAATTTACTCATGAAATTCACTTTTAAATAAATGAGATATATAAAATATTCTCAACAATTAACATTTTTGTCACCTTTCCATTTGCTTGTATAATAACAGTGAAACTAAACAAAAGGAAATTCTTCTTTTGGAAGAGAGGCAAAAAAACTTCTGTGTTTCTGAGCCATAGAAGAGTCTTGCTAAATATCAACCAAAAAATAGTATAATTACATGATCTAAAATTAAAATAAAATAGAAACAATTTACAATCAGATTCACATATAAATATTTATGCATTATAGATTTACATTTCTAATATAAATATAAAATATGTATACATTAATAAAGTACTATGCTAAGAATTATAACCTTTAAAATTTCTATTTGCACTATCATCTAATCCCTTAAACAGTGGTCCTTAATATTGCCAAGATAGAAAAACATTAAAATTGTTTTAGAAGATTAAAAAAAAAAACCATTTGCTGTAGACTCATTGAGTAGACTAGTTGAAGACTAGCCTCTCCATTTCATTTGGGAGAGTTAAATCAAAAGAAGGTCCCCAGCAAATGCCAGTACAAGGAGCATCATGATGTACTCTGTCTTTCCCTTGTGGAGCCGCTGGTGCATCTCCTTCTCCTAGGGTTCTAACACTGGGGCGGGGGAGGGGGGCGGCATCTTATCTTTAATAGCCACTAGACCCTCATTTTCTACACTATTGCACCTTCCTTGGGATCTAGAGAGCATTCCCTGGTGGGCTTCTCGGGCCTCTGCCAAATGTCCAATTTAGAACACCGGGGATATCAAGATACTTCTCAAAATGTTCATATTCAATTCTAACTCGAAAACTTCCTGTCTAAAGTTGCCATTTTTCCTTCCTGAACTCATCAGTTACTCTTCGTTATCAGTATTCTCAACCTGCTAGCATGAGCTTTTCTTTCATGGGAAACACGCTGACGATGATACTTGCCAGTGATCATTTACACTGTTTCTGAAAGATTTTGGCATGTCTAGCTCTTAACATGAAAGGCTGTTTTTATCAATTGGTTTGGTAAGATTCTTCTTTATTTTTTTGTGGTAAATTTACTCTAAATTGTGTATTTCATGAAAATCCATTTGTTTTTCTTGATGTAGTTGAAGAAGGACATGAAATATCTTCTGGAACTATTGCTTTTTACTTTCTGACCATGATTTCTTGGTTGCAGCAAATCTGCTCAGTTTAATACTTTTAATATAATATTTAGGTACATTGATTATTTTATCTTCTTCAGTTATTTTAATGTACATTTCATTTATTTCTTCTCTGTTAAAATAAGTGTGTTTTCTATGCTTGCTGTAACAAATTACCACAAACAGTGGCTTAAAACAATGTAAATTTATTATCTTGCGTTCTGGACATCAGCAGTCTGAAATCAGTTTCCCTGGGGTAAAATCAGTGTATCAACAGGGCTGCAGTTCTTCGAGCAGCGCTATCGGAGAATCCATCCCTTCTCTCTCACAGTTTCTGGAGGTGGCCTACGTTGCTTGATTCATAACCACATCTCTTCAACCTCTGCTTTCATTGCATCATTTCCTTCCTGGACTTGGATCTTTCTGCCTCCCTTTTACAAGAACCTGTGTGATTACTTTGGAGCTCACCCAGGTATCCCAGGGTACTCTCCCCATCTCAGGATACTTAAATTGATTATATCTATGAAGTCTCTTTTGACATGTAAGTGAATAGAATACATTTACATTTTTGTTCTGGGACTTAGGACATGGATACCTTTGCCAGGGAGAGTAGGGGACATTATTCAGCTTCCACAGTAAGTTTTACTAGGCCACATCAGTCCATTTCTTCAAAACTTCTAAGAAATCTCCATTTCCTGAAACATTTGTTTTAGGAAATTCCAAGTTCCCACCATCCATGTCGTCTTCTCCAATAACAGCAGTCAGATCACTGAGCTTCAGCAAGGGTTAACCTAGAAATTTGATCTGATTTTTACTTTTAGAACTTGTTCCATACCACTTTTGCATTTTATAGCATTGCATTTCATTTAGTGTTCACTAACTCTTCTTTCCCATCTTTCTGCTTATAAAAAAGTCTTCATACTTTCCTCATGATTAGAATTTTTATCAAAGCATTTTAATGTCTGAAGTTGTGCTTCATTTTGCTGATGTATAATGAAGAGTGTTTTAGCTGAAATGTAGTTGAAGCAGCTACTTGAAATTTTAAATGTTTTGATGCACCATTTGCCATTAAAACACTGAGTCTTTCTTGTTACATTTATTATCAGCCCAGCTTGTTCTAAACATTGAGATTTCTCTTCTTTCAGTCTTTTTTCTAGGTAACTTTTAAAAAGCCAACATAAAGAATTGGAGATTTCCAGGTCTTTGTATTTCTGTTAAAGTGTTCTCAAGTCTGGCTTTCATTAAAGTTGCTTCAATTCCTGAAAATTCCTTTTTATGAACCTCAAGCATCTCGAAGATGTGCTCTCTTTCCTTCAGAAGGGCAGAAACTTCAATGGCCAGTCAGGGATGCCACCAGGATGGACCAGGGTGATGTAGAGTTTCATGGTCATCAGTGGATCTATGGCTGAGCCCCATCATGTTGCCAGACTGGAGAACTCTATGAACATTCTGTCTGGAGCCATACCAGTGTCTGGCAACTAGGGTAGACCTTAGTGGAGGTAAGAGAGAAGGAACAAGCACTGTAGAAGAAAACCTTCCAACCTTCCTCAAGCAATGACAAACATAGATGGGATAATATCACATTACCCTGGGAGATATGGACTGGGCCTCTAGAGGCACGTGATGATAGCTGGGGGCTCTGAACACCCTAGCCCTGCCATTGGTGCCTCAAAGGCTCAGGGAATCTGTCTTGTCTCATGTGTAAATCATTTAGAATCACTGGTTGAGATCTCCACCAGCTGTAGAGCACTAGTTGAGAGCATTTACAGGCTGCTAAACCTGGCCAATATTTCATTTTCTCTTAAACTTTTCATTCTGTGATCCTTCTAAGATTGTCAGATTTAGCAAATGAAAATACATGTGCTCAGTTAAATGTGAATCTCAAAAAAAATTAATATAAAGACATCTCATGTAATAGCTGTGATATACTTATAATAAAAAAATTGCCATTTTGTTTGCTATTCAAATTTACCTGGGGATCCTGTATTTATCCAGCCACTCTCCTTCCTGGAGGCATTGTTCTCTCCATAATGATAACAGAAAACTCACTGCTGTCAGTGAGTTTGACTAGCTTTGAATATGTATCAAGGAGAGGGTTGTAAAGGGCCCCCAAAAAGGGTTTCAACCAATGGTGTGCTGGAACCAGATTGCACCCACTGGCTAAAGCTGATGATAACCAGTTTTTTTGCAACCCTGTGTTCAGGAATGTCTCATTGACATGGCTTGAAATGCCGTGGTTGGCATTTACACCAAAGACATTTTGCACCCAATAAATAAGCGAATACTAGAGACGAAGGTTTCTTCTGCCTTCTGCCTCTCCACCCCCAACCCCCAAAAAGCAGGTTAAACATTGACTTACGTATGACTGATTATGACCGATTCTCTTGAACTATAAACTCTGTCAGTCTTAGAATGTGGAAAGCAATCTTGGAAGCCAGTTTTCTCCCCTTTAGAGTAAGGGTGAGTGAGAAATACCATTGCCACCAGAGGTCACTCTTAACCTCTTGAATCCAAAAGCACTCAAGCTACACGGAATCACCTCTTGACACAGAATCAGGAAGGACATTTTCTATACCATAAAGTAAGTGACTTAAAATTAATTCTACATTTTAACCTGTCTAACTCTATGGAGTTTCCATAGAACATAAACATAGAATATAAAATAGTTAAAGCACTAGTAACATAGGTATTATTTATTATCACTTTTCTATTAGTTGCCAAGCACAGAAATTTATTTTATTTAGTGAAGATCTCCTTATTTCAGTGCTATCAAAAGAAATATAGAATGTGAAGAGATGGAGGAAATGGTACTTTATTAAGTTTTATCTTTACATACACATTCTTGGACACAGAGTAAGTTCAAAGAACTAAGAAAATTTTAGTAGAAGTAAAACACCTTGAAGACCACATGATCAGTGAGAGGTAATTATTCATATAATTTGGCTTAAAACACAGCTCTGCTTAAAACATAGCTATGTTCAACTATATTTTGTTAAAGATGTAATAAAACTACAAATATTTGATGGACACTGTCTATACAGTATATGAAATGAATAGAATATTACCATTCTTTAAGGTAAGGGTCTAATGGAATAATTTATATGTATATATAAAATATTAGATATATATATTTCCAAATAGTAAATTATATAGTAGAATTTTCGACAAGTTGCTATGAGAACTTAGAAAAACACAGTCTTTTAAAATGCCTCTTTTCTCTTAAATTTATTGGCTGATTTATGGCCTAGATGTTACCTTGGTGGTGAACAAGAGGCTTACATTCTGTTAAAGAAATAAATAAATTACAGAATTACTTCAAATGGTCCTAAGCGTTATAAAAAACATAATAGAAGATGATGAAATATGGGAAAACTGGGGTGCAATTGGCATGGTCAGGTAAGATTCTCCTGGGGGAAACTGAACTGAGTACTGAATAAGGAGCTGGCCTTATGAGATTTAAAGAGAGAATATTCCAGGCAGAAGAGTGGAAATTTAAAAGGCCCATGTGATGAGGATTCTGAAACTCTACAGACATATAAATTAACAGAGTCAGTACAATAGTTAAAATATAGGATTTGTTGGTAGGCTTGCCTGAAGGAACATCTTTTCACATGTAATGGATGGACCTATTGAATGATCCATCCTCTTTGCAATCTGGACTGCACAGATTATTTTGTTGCTAGGTACAGCCAATCTCCTGCAGGCGCTGAGAGGGGAGTTCAAATGCCCCTCAAAGGAAAGGTAGAGACACCGTTGTGAGAGAACAGCTTGCTCCAAAGCACACCAACCGTGAGATCTCAGCATGGAAGACTTATTTCTTTTTAAACAACATGTGGAGGGCTGGGTGTGGTGGCTTACACTCGTAATCCCAGCACTTTGGGAGGCTGAGGCTGGAGGTCTGCTTGGAGCCAGGAGTTCAAGACCAGCCTGGGCAATATGATAAGAACCTGTGTCTACACAAATTTTAAAAAATTAACCTGGCATGGTGGTGCGCACTTGTTGTCCCAGTTACTCGCGAGGCTGAGGCAGGAGAATCACTTGAACTCAGAAGTTGGAGGCTACAGTGAGCTATAATTACACTACTGCACACCAGCCTGGGTGACAGAGTAAGACCCTGTCTCAAAACAAAGAAAAAAAGGAAACCATACAAAGCCTCAAAACCATCAAAATTTGCCTACCAACTCTGGGAACAAGTCTAACTTTGCACCAAAACAGAATGACATTATAGTTAGAAAAGGATTTTGCCGAATGTTTGAAGTGATGAAAGATTTTTAAATTTTTCAATCCTTGAGACTGTAATTATATAAGTCTATAAAACTGATTAGACATTTTAAGACACTGTAGAGAAGGAACTTAAAAAGTAGCAATCACAAGTAAGTGGCTTTTAAGTTTGGTTTTTTTTTTTTTTTTTTTTTTTTTTTTGTGATGGAGTCTTGCTCTGTCGTCCAGGCTGGAGTGCAATGATGCGATCTTGGCTCACTGCAGCCTCCGCCTCCCCGGTTCAAGCGATTCTCCTGCCTCAGCCTCCTGAGTGACTGGGATTACAGGCATGTGCCAACATGCCTGGCTAATTTTTGTATTTTTAGTAGAGATGAGTTTTCACCATGTTGGCCAGGATGGCCTCGAACTCCTGACCTCGTGATCTGCCTGCCTCGGCCTCCCAAAGTGCTGGGATTACAGGCATGAACCACCGAGCCCGGCCTAGATTATTTTTAAGAGATATATAAAAGTGAATTGTTTACTTGATTACAGCTGACGAGGCATTTTTTTAAAAAAGAGGAAACAATATAATTTTTTTTTGTTGTTTAGACTAGATTTCATGAATATGCTTCTGGAAACAAACATTTTCTTTGTACTTCCATGTGATGTGTGGTGCAAGTCATTGTTTCCATCTTTCCTGGTCCAAGAGAGCTAGAATGTGAGTAAAAGAGACTTCACACATGAAAAGCACATACCTAGAAGCCAGAGAGCAGGATCCATTGTAGGATCTGGCTATCTCTTCCTCTGTCATGTGTGGGCTTAACTTGATTGAATAACCCATTTGTTTCATTCATTCATTTATTCATTCAGTTTTGGCATCAGACTAACATGAGCTCATATTCATCATATGATGCAGTACAAGCTATTTAACTCCAAAATTCAGCAATATCAACAATAAAATGAAGATACTCCATAAATTATTTAATGGTTATTGAGGTTAAATAAGATTGTGCAATTGCTAACACATGCCATGGGCCAGTGGCCTTAGTAAATAATAGACTGCTATTACTGTTGTTTTTATTGTTCGTTTACTAATTCAGAAAACTATTTATTAGCTACATTCTTTATTATGAGGACTGTGTTAGATTCTGGGGATAGGGGCAATACATGATTGAGTTTATTTGTCTAATATATGCATATATGTGCCTAATATTTGTCTAACGTATTATATATACCTACATATATATGATTACTAATCAGATGCTATGTAGAAATGTATACAAACAATAGCTATAATATTGATATCTATCTTGAGCAAGCTGAGGCTCAGAGAGGGTAATGACTTCCTCAAGATGGCACAGCTCATATCAGAGCCAGGCTTTGATGGTGGCTCACCAGCCCCATTCTGTTCCTTTAACAACTAACACCAAAGTGCCTGTCACCTTGGCACAGTCAAGAGTGGTTAGTTTTTTTGTAAGCTAACTGTTGTTGGGTGTTAGAGAAGGCTCTAAAGAGTGGTGTCCTCTAAGTTGGCTTTGGAAAGAAAAGTATGTGTTTATCAGATGGGGAATGGGGAAGAGAGATTGGGAGAATAAGTAGCAGAAAGGGAGGTTAGCATTTTTTTCCCCAGAAGTGAACAACAAAAAGCCTAGTTTCAGTAGTAGCCATGGCATATAATTATATATTAATGTCTTTTTAACTAAAGAAAAGCAGAACACTATTAAACTATAAAAATCAGTTATAAAGTTATCTTTTACACTCTTTTTTTTTTTTTTTTTTTTTTTTTTGAGACAGAGTCTCGCTCTGTTGCCCAGGCCGGACTGCGGACTGCAATGGCGCAATCTCGGCTCACTGCAAGCTCCGCTTCCTGGGTTCACGCCATTCTCCTGCCTCAGCCTCCTGAGTAGCTGGGACTACAGGCGCCCGCCACCGCGCCCGGCTAATTTTTTGTATTTTTTTAGTAGAGACGGGGTTTCACCCCGTTAGCCAGGATGGTCTCGATCTTTACACTCTTGTTAAAAATCTTGTAGAAAAGCACGCAGTAAATTCGTATAATAAAAGACAACTCATGATTTTTAAGAGTATAGAAAAATAAAAAGGGGATTTTAAAAAAAAATTAGAGTTTGCTTTACTGAATTGTTAATAAGGACAAAAATAGAGCTCATATTTCATCCATTCTTAGTATGTGCATTTTTTTTGTTAGTTGGGACTGCAAAATGACAACTTGCTGACTGGTAGTTCAATGTAATATGTTATTTACTTTATTATTCCGAATTCTAATCGGTTATGTGAGAACTCTGTGGAGGAAAAATTCTTGTTGCTGTTGGTGAAGGATTTTAAATCATTCATTTAAACAAGAAGTGCCTATGATTGTAGAGCTAAAGCAAAAATGTGAAATGTTTTGTCAGAAATATCTTTTTGATAAAGATTATTCCTTTCGTGTTTCTGTAACCTGTCAGTTCTTTATACTTTTACATGATTCCTACCCAACTGAGAATACATGGTCAACTATTCCAACATTGTCTGCTCTTATATCCTCTTTGATTTTTCTGTGAATATCTTGAAAATATCCAGTCTGGATTGCTGTCACCCTTTATTCTGTCCTTTAGATAAGAAGTATTACCACAGCATATTAATATAGCCTCCCAAATAGATCCACTGGAATCTCATATTCTCTGATCACAGATGGGTTCTCCTTATCAGTATGGCCCATTTATTTCTGTTTAACTCCAATCTATTACCCAAACTAATCTTTGCCAGATGTGTTCATTGAACCCAAGCCCCTTACTCTTTCCTTCCCATTTCTGCTTCTGTTACTCCTCTCACTCCATTGGTTTTTACATTTTTATCAGAAATCTTTCAGGGTATGTTTCACTATCAACCATTTTCTCTTTAATAACTATAATTTGGCTTCCACATATTTCATGGCAAGTGAGAGGCAGCATAAGATAGAAACTTTACCTGGATATTAACTGTAGCCCCACCCTCTCTGGCTCAGGCTTTTGGGCCCTAAATCATCTCATGTATAGAATAATAGTAGTAAAAATGCACTTCATGGTTTGTTGTGAGAGTGAAATCAGATATAGCATGTAGAGGATCTATCATATGGCTGATAGGCACAAGGTGTACAATAAATATTAAATTCTTTCTTTTTCCCCTGTTGGGTAATACATGTTTTGTTTCTTTTCTTACTAGTCTAAGCTTGTATCTCCTTTGTGGATTTCCTCTCTCGCCTCAATGTTTTTCTTATAATCTTCATCTCTTCATTGTTTTCTATAATAATTTTACTTGCCAAAACTTCACACCTCATTTTATGCATATCTACCCCAATTATATATTTTTGATTTATCAAACTTTGAGTTTGAAAGTAGTCTTATTGATCATCTAATTAAACTTTAGTATTTTGATGAGAGACCCAAGTTTCGGAAGCATTAAGGTACTTTTCCAGAAACACAAGAATCAGTGACAATAGAACTTCCATCTTTTGACTTTTGGACAACTGATCTGCCAGTTCTTTCTCCAAAGCTCAATGTTTCATTTGAATCAACTGTTCATACTGCAGGAATCTTACATTTTTCACAATTATCAAAGAGTTTTTCACACCTATTATCTCAGCATCTCCAATTTTCACTTGAGCATACTGAAGCTCAGTAAATGTAAATACTTTCTCAGGTTGTATGATTAGTTGCGACAGAGCAAGGATTAGATTCCAGCCTTTGACTTTGTTCCTATAAAGTCCAGGTACTTCATTTGCAAGAACTTAGGCCTAAGATCTCCGCTTCATACTTGTCATGCCTTTTACATGGTTTAGTCATTGTTCTCAACACTGAGAAAATTATTTCTTACTACTACTCTCCTTGGCTGTAAATTTAAAAGATTACACCAAAATCACATGTAAATGTGTTATTAAAATACTTTAAGAGGCTTCTGATTATAATGCATTATTCTCTATACATGAGCACAAATATACTATTTTTCATTTCATTAGTAATCACTTTGTATAATATATACCATGTCAATTTATTCTAAGTGAAAGGAAGCATGTTATTCCTTTTTTTTTTCTTTTGCCGAGATTCCTTTGCAGGCAATGTAAACAATGAGTTGCTATGTGGTAAATCTTCTCAGGGATGACTCAACTACCCAATTCCCAGACACTCTCATGTAGCACTCAGATATATCATAATGTGAAGGAATGGCAAAGATATCTCTACACAAGCTGTTATAAGGTGGCACGAACGAAATATAGCTAACCATGGGGACTATATTGGGATGGTTTATGACTAGAAGGAGGTTGTAAAAATTATAAGTAGCAGAACCTGTTTGCATTGGAATAGACAAGCTAGCTTCAACAAAAAATGTCTTTAATATAAATATACCTAAGAGTAATATGACATTCATTAGCATCGTGTTCTCCAAATACACCTGCTATTATGTTCAGGGTGAAAGCTTAGAGTCATTTTATTTGAAAATATTTTTATTCTCTCCAAACTAAAGTTGTATGTATTATATTCCCTATCATTTACATTTCAATAAACATGATAAAATATTACATAACTTGAGATCATTTTCTCAGGTAGATTATTATACATATGCACATAAAATAATATATGATAATAAATATAATTTTGTCATTAATGTATTACTTATGATTTTAACTAAATAATTTATATATTTGACATATAATTTATATAATTTACTCCAAATAAGTATTGATTCATTATTGATGTACTTATATACTTTATTATTACTATAATAATTAGTATATATTATAATATACTACTAATAGTAATATACTATTACTATAATATTATAGTAATAATTATACTATATTCATTTATGTATTTATGAAATATATAATCTAACTATTTACAATCAGGAAAATTATTCTAACATGGAATATGGGATTTGTCAAGAAAGTAATAGCATTCAATTTCACATATTAATTACACAGACACCTACATAATGTGTTATGCTTGCCGATGAAGCAAACATGATATTAAACCACATTAATAAATGCATTCAAAGTTTTAAATAAGGTAGGCAATAGTGTCACTCTATACAGCACATAGACCATGTCTAGGTCGTATTGTCTCCAGAAACCACAGTTTTAAAGAAACATTGAGAAAATTGTAATGACTTCTGGGAAAAGCAATGAGAATAAGATATTTTCTTATTAGAAGTGATGGATGGAATGGAAAATATTAAGCCTAAGCAAAAATTAATTCTATGGTGGGTGGGCAGGGAGGAGACAGGATTGAGAACATACTGGGTATAGTTAGCTTCAGAGATATTAAAGGCATAACATGAAACGAGAAATTAACCTTATTTGTATAGCTCTAGAAGACAGATTAGGATCACAGGAGTTTTGGATCATCTTAGGAAGTCAGACTTCAGCTCAATCATATAAAGATGCTTTTGACAATTAGTGATGCCTAAAAAAGAATAGGCTCCATATGAAATTACTAGTTTTTTATTGTTGATTGTTTTAGACAGAGTTTTTTATACAACATGGACTAGGGTGCAGGAGAGGATCAACATGTACTGGATTTAAATTTAGTGTAATAAACTTTTAAAGAAGGTGATCATATGCCTTATAATCCCAACAGGACACATTTAAGAATGAAAGAGGACACTAATAATATGCACATTGGAGCTGAGGGTAGTGGGTCATGCCTGTAATCCCAGCAGTTTGGAAGGCTGAGGCAGGCTGATTGCTTGAGCTCAGGAGTTTGACACCAGCCTGGGTAACATGGCAACACCCTGTCTCTACAAAAAAATAAAAATAAATTTAAAAATTAGCCGAGCATGGTGGTGAGCACCGAGCATGGTCCCAGCTACTCTGGAGGCTGAGGTGAGAGGATCACTTAAGTCCCAGAGGCAGAGGTTGCAATGGGCCACGATTGTGCCATTGCACTTCAGCCTGGGTGAAAGAGTGAGAACCTGTCTCAATAATAATAATAATTAATAACAATAATAAAGCAGGTTGGGACAAGAGTCCTATACAGTAACTGTCTCTGAAAAACTGTTACTCTAAGGCAAATTCTGAATCAATGATTTCATAAATCATGGAATTCATAATCTTGATAATGATAATGATGATGTTGATGATAAAAACATTTTAATAGAACTTCTTATATGTCAGAAAATGTATTAAATTATTTACATGTGACATAAGCAGTATTATTATCTACATTTTGTAGATAAGGATAACTGCAGTTCAATTTCCTGGATTTATCCAAGGTCTTACAGCTGGTAAGAAATGAAACGAACTGGTAAAAGATAAAGCCAGGTTTCCAATCCAGGCAATCTGTTTCTAGAGCTCATGAACTCAACTACTACACTATATTACATCAATTATAGTTTTAAAACTTTATTTTGAATATTATTATTTTGAAATAATAATTATAGATTTATGGGAATTACAAAAGTAGTACAGAGAGGTCTCATGTTGCCTTCTACCAATTTTCCCCCATGGTTATATCCTATAGAAGCAGAGTAGACATAAGCCAGGAAATTGACATTGTACAATGTGTGTGTGTAGTTGCTATGCTGTTTTATCATATGTGTAGATTCAGATAACCACAGCTGCAGTCATGATACAGATCCAGTCAATCACCACAAAGACTTTCTTCATGATTAGCCTTTTATAGTCACACATGTCCTCCTTCCCTCACCATTCCTAACACCTGGCAACTACTACCCTGTTCATTTCTATAATTTTGTCATTTGGGGATGTTTTATAAATGGAATCATATGGTAAAAGACCTTTGAGATTGACATTTAAAATTTAGCCTGATGCTGAATAGAAATTTAAACATATCGATTGTATAATTTCTATGCACGCAATCCTATTTTATTTCATAACAAAGAATTTTAATACATAACGATGCAGGAAATGTATGAGAATTTATAACTTTTTTGGAATAAATATATGAAGAACATTGGATGAAAAAATAAACATTTAAATTGGGTTTACTGTATAAGAATTGACATTTTGGTTGTGCTTATGATTATTTTTTAATGATTGGCTGTTTACTTTGAACATCTTAAATGACCTGTTTCCTTGTCTATAAACCAAGATACAACTTGATGTGCTGATGGGGAAGAATATAATTTAACAATCAACATTCAAATTTATTTTAAATTACATTCCCAGACATCGGGAAATATTAAAAAGGAATTAAGAATTTTTCTCCATTAGAGCTTTAGTTAGAACCACTTCATTAAATGACAACTTCAAAGTAAATAGGCAGGCAATTATGTATCTCCACTAATCACACTGGCTGGTAAAATTGTTTCCCGCTTCTCATTTCCAGTTAGCTCCACGAAATAATGTTATCTATAAGATAATGCTTTTGACTGAAGAAAACAAGAAAGGCAAATAAGCGAACCTAATTGCCAATAACATTTACATCTAAAACATTCTGTTACAAAACAGCTTAAAAATTCAACAGCTAACAAGATGAACACTGATTTTTGGAACCATTTTCCTAGTTATTTATTTATTTTTAGTAAAAGAATATGCTAATGCACTCTAAGCTCTCATGCACATATGTGTAAAATCAATTGACTCTCCTCCAGAAATGCAGTCAAGCAGACGCTGTCATCTGCATGACGCCCCACAGCATGGCACACTGCTGTCCATGTAACCTGTGTTCAGGAGGTGTTTGGACAACAAAATAGAGAAAACAAAGAAAAAGTACAATCGAAATTTTTACTAATTGTTTCATCTAAATCCCATCAATGAAAAATTATGTATTTCTCCACATAGAAGATATGCATGAATTGTACAGATAACTAATAGCAAAGATAATGAATATAAGTATTTGTTTTCCAAAGAGTTCATTATGGACAGACAGTCCCACAGAAGTCAAATTCTCTTATTTTTTATTTTTCAAAATATAATTAAGCTACTTTATCTTGTATATAGAAAAATACCTAAAACACATGTATAAATTCATTGTGGGATAACATAAAAATTAAGCCAATGAATGGCCAATGTGAACACAAGACGTCTTTTCATATTTATATTTCAATATGAACAAAGAAAGAAAAAAATAAAATAAGCAAATAAAAAACAACCAGCAACAAAAAACAAAGAACAAACTCCCCATTCACAAATGTACTCACTTTCAACTTGGTACACAGATGTCTTTGTGTCTGTCTACACTTGTTAAAATAAAATCTATCCAGAAAAGGAGTTTTTCCCTTAAATTGGACTGAGTATTATCCTGTTAATAAATATGAATTATTCCCTCATATACAGACCAACATTATATAGTTATATGTAGTCATTTGTTATTCAACAAGTATTCATTAAGTCTTTAATTATACACAGACATTGGGAACATAAAAATATTATTTGGTTTGCCCTCTAGAATATAACAGATACATACATAAAAAATTTAACTCTAATATATAAGTGCTAGAAATAGAGTCCTTTTGATTTTTTGAAGTTAGAGTAAAGTTATTATTACAGAGTGAGGAAGAATGACAGAAAACATAATATGATCCCCTAAGATTAGTATCAAAAGTGGCTACCCAAATAATTAAGTCCAAATGTCTAATTTTACTAATAGGGAAACAGATTTGAAAGCATGCCACAGTGAGTTAGACTATATCTTGACTAGATGCCAGATTTTTAAATATCTTGACTGCTGACTTTACAAGGTTATTGTGAAGAATAAATGAAGTGTAATATATGAAGTCTTTGGCATATAGCAAGGCCTCAATAAACATCTGGGAAGAAGTCTGCTGCAGTGAAAACAGCATGAACTTGGAATAAAATATACTTGGATTAAAATTCCATTTCTTCCTAATGTGGCATTTAATTTACCACTGCTTGGTCTAATATTACTCTTCTTTAAAATAGAGATAAGAAAAAAAGATAATTATTCCAATGTTTCATGATCATTTAGCTATGTGAGAATTTATTGTTTATCATTTAATAAATTTATCATGTCATTAATCATTTAATGGCTGATAGATTTTTGAAGAAGAGATTTTCTCTTTGGAGGAAGATAAAAACTTGATAAATATTTTGAATTTGAACATGGTATTCCTAGTAATACAGCTAAAAGAGAGTTAAGTTGTACAGGATAAGAAAATTTGATGTTTTGATTATGTTTTGATTTTCTGCTTTCTGAATGGGAATTGACCAAGGAGAAGGAGGTAACCACTGCACACACCCTTTTCACGTCTGCCCTAGTCCAATCAAAAGCATCTCATTCTTGTAACTCCTGTTACAATTACTACATTGTAATTTTTCAATACATGAATTAAAGGACCATTGATGGCCTTATTAAAAATCTCATGAGAGAAATTACAATGGGATTTGCTGTTGTTTTGCTGTTAGGTGACTTTTTCTATATTTCTAAACACTTTGTATGGAGCATGATGTATGTAAATAGTTTTGTTTCAGTGAAAATTAAATAAGTGATTGAGCTTTACAGTTGGGTTAGAGTAGAATGGAGCAGAGACACATGTATGGAAACAGGACCCTGCAGATGGAGAATATGTCTCTTGAGAATTTACTAACATTTTAGGGGAAAAAAAAACTTTGAACCTCCACAGAGCATGGAATTGGAGCTTCAAGTTAATCATACTTGTAACTCAAAGGGCAAGAAGTTCTCAGTTAACACCTCGGTTGCATTTTATGTGAAGATTTAATGAGATAATGAATATTACTACCTGGGTGTTGAGACAAATAGACAATGATGACCCCTTTTTCTCTTTGGCTTCTGACATTGATTAGTGGAACCCTGGCCCCTGCTAATAAGATTGGAGTTAGAGTCTGATGCCAGCAGGAACACTCAGATATGCTTTCCTAAGAATTTGCAATCGGAACCAAGAGTTTATATTTATACACATATACACCATAGCTTGATACATGGATAAGAAGGAGGAAAAGGCAGGCAACAGAGCTGAGATGAAGCATACCACAAAAAGGTGCCAATTTTATTTCCATCAAAACATTGTTGTATTTCATAACGGAAGCATTCTTTTCTTGGTAATTAGTTACATTAAGATATGAGCATCTAAATTTCTGGGATCAAGGGACATTTTTTGAGAGATTTAGTAGGTGTGCTAGAGATAGAAGCCACTCCTACCAGCTTCCGGTCCTTGGTTCCAAGACCCTTTTGTTTTAGCTTTAGAATAAACAGCTCCTTTCAATGTTCATAGTATCAAAATAATATTCAAAGCTTATTTTGCATTTGTAGGACAGCACCCTAGAGACACAGTGTTCTTTCAACTGGACTCATATCTGAATCTTGAACAGGTCTTCTGACACTGTATAAGGCAGACTATTTCTGGATGATGAGATACATGTTAGAATTGGAAAGCATTAGACAGAAACAATGTTGTGTAAATTACCATAATCATGAATAAGAGAATGGATAATGGTGCTGGAAGAAGCATTGTGGACAAGGCAGATATATTCACATCCTGAATAAGTATGTTTTACAGTGAAGAGAAAATTTGCTTCCTCCATGGTATAAGGATTCTAATTTAATTGTCCTGCCCCTAGGTGACTGGTCAGTCCTTTAGGTAGTAGAATTATATTAGAAACTTAGCCTTGATCTCTGCTGTTGGCAGGTTGGAAATACAACAGGAAGAGGAATCAAATAAGGCTTGTTAAAAGGAATGTCATATTGCTAAACCTATACATAACTTTAACAATCTTGCCAATACAGGTGCTTTTTCTCATAAACTATAGAAAAAGACTGAGTGATAACACTCAAAACTGATTATGTTGTCTACCTGATTATTAAGAACCTCCTCTCTAGTAGGGAACTTCACTGAATATTGGTTGATATGGGTGAGGTGTTTTTTTTTTTTTTTCCTTAACCATTCAGTGGTCATGGGGACTTACAAAAAGGTGCCGTTTGAGAGTGATAGGATAATGCAGGGGAAACAGGTGCCACAAGACTCTGAACTAAATATATATGAAACTTTCTTGTGCTCTCAGACACTGCTAAAGCCTTATCTAACTCCTCCTGAGAATGGAGTGTTGTGACGCACACGCAACTTTATGATTTGGTGGATCAGATAACAATGAGTTTATAGACGGGCAGATTAGTTTCAGATGCTCTTGGCATTTCACGGTAGGAATGCCAGGAACCCAGGCTTTACCAGATCTTAGGAACATGCCCAGGAGCTGATTTTCAAAATGTAAATAAGTTATGTGTGTTAAGAAGGCATAGCTGCAATCAAAAGCTGTAGGAGCCTGCATCATGATTCTTCTCTCAGGATTCCCAGAGAGTCCATCGCATTCCTATCTGCAATAGACGTTTGGAGCACATTTTTATCTGCCGGGTTTTAAAGCCCAAGCAGGAAAGCAGCTGCACTATACCTGCTCCAGCTTTAGAACCTATTCTTGTTGTGGCCCTGTATTAGTTTTCCATTGTTTTGTAGCATGTTACTACAAAGTTAGTGGATTAAAACAACAAAAAATGAATTTTATCTTACAGTTCTGTAAGTCTGAAATTCAAGATGGTCTTATTGCGCTAAAACCAAGGTTTGGCAGGGCTGCATTCCTTTCTGGAGGCTCTAGTTGAGAATCATTTCCTTGCTTTTCCAGCTATTAGAGGTTGCCCACATTCCCTGCTTTATGATCTTCCCTGATTTTCTATCTTCAAATCAAGCCTTGCTACATCTCTGACTATTCTTCATAGTTACATGTCCTTCTTTTGCAACAGAAGGAAATAGTCTCTGTTTTTAAGGTCCCATTTGCTTAGATTGAGCCCACCTAGATAATCCAGGATAATCTCCCCCAACTCAAGGTCCTTAACTTAATCATATTTGCATAATCCCTTTTGCCAGGTAATGCAACATATACACAGCTTCCAGAGGACCTGGACATCTATGAAGGGCCATTATCGTGCCTAATGTCAAAACTTCCTGTTATATGATTCAGAACAGCGTATTTTACGAAGTGCACACTGCCTGCAAAATTTAAAGAAGCTCATTCATCATCTCTTTCTGTGTCATAGAGATGCAAGGCAAAGCACCTTGTTGTTCACTTTGGAAGAAATACCTGGGAATTCCTCAGTTCTACTGGATTCCTAGAACCTCATGAAGATGACAGGTCTCTGAGTTTTCACGGGATTTATTTCTTCCTTCAGGCATGGATATATCTTATCAACACATTTAGGATATTTATGCTTCCTTCTTACCAGGTCTGACCAGGATGTCATAAATGTATTAGGCCAGTATAATACCCTGTGGGACGGTGTGTGATCAAGTGCCCTGAACATTGGAGTATGAAAGATAATCAGAAAATGGACACATTCCCCAAATAATAGAATGAAGTTTCACTGCTGCCAGTATGGTCTAATAATTACAATCCTGGTGAGGGGGCACTTGCCAGACCGAAATCTGCACATTTAATGAGAATGGGTATGTTAATTTGCTGTAGCAAAGAGATCACACTTGCAACACCAACTGCAATCAGTGTCACTGCCTACTCAAAGTAGTTTGCTATTTTTTTCTATGACCTACCTATCTTGTCACAGACTAAAGAGGCAAGTATATAAAGATGTCTCTTTCAATAATTTGATATTATTTCCCCAGTTTGAAGCAAGGAAAAAACAATAGAACCATTATAATAGATAGGGCCAAGCATAAGGATCTGGAAATTTTTGTCCCTATCAAAATAATAAAAACAAATGTAATACCACATTTCTGGGGAAAACACAGATTAATGCTACCTTTAAAGACTTGGAAGAGAGAGACTGACAGATCATCTGGATCCACCTCTGATGGATTTGAGCTAAATCTTCATCACATGACTCCTGGAAATCCCCTTTTTGACTGGTAGACTATAGAGGCAGTTTCGTTCCTGGGAAATAGTGTCAAGTGAGATTAAATATGGAATAATCTTTCGAAAGCTTAAGTATTTCCTCCTCCTCAGTGCACAGTGACCATGGCAAATGTCTATAGGTCCCTTTGGGGAAGGTTAGGAGGATGACTTTCAATAAATACTTTTGGCAGATTCTCAGAGTTCATTCAAAGGGCTTCAGTTGTTTGAACTGGTTGAGGTATAGAATGTAAGTCAAAGGCTGAGAACTCCCATGTGACAACTCAGGTTCTGTGCAATGTGTTCTCTTTCAGGCACATTGTGTGTGTTTGATCCTAAGCCATGTTCCAATTATGGTTCTAGAGACAATGAGAGGTGATGAGTGGATGTTGAAGGGATTGGCCACTCTGTGAGATAACTGCTTCAGACAAGATAGGAAAGGATTTGTCCTCTGACTCAAGGAAGAAGGGGCTGCTTCCTCCAGGACACACAGTGGGACTTAGAGGTTCAAGTTTAACAGATTTATCTGTCAGCTGAAATATGCCACATCCAGCTCCCTGTGTCTTATTCCCTTTATTCAATGCAAAAAAAATTCAAATAAGAGACCTATTAATATTCTGAATTCAATTTACATTGTAATTTTTCAAACCCACAGAGTTAAATTTTGTATCTGGTCTTTGCCATATTGGCCATCCTATCTCTTGTAAATAAGAGAGAAGAGATTATTTTAGGGTGGTAATTGAAATACTCTGGTTCTCTGCTCATAACTCGACAAGAAGAATTTAAAGCACTGAACTCAAAATTTTCTTTATGTCATTTTCCAGTGTAGCCAGGGTCCACCACAGAGCCCTGGCAGTCATTCACTCGATGGCTACTTTGTCTAAATGCTATGTATGACTGACATCCCATTTTATACTGGAATCGAGGTCATAATTTTGATCAAACCCATCCAGGACAGAAAATCTCTCCCAGGTTCCCATCTTTGCAGGACAATTTCTTGGAACTACTACTGGACAAAGAAAAATACTGTATTAGTCAGAGTTCAGTCAGGGGAAAAAAATCAATCTATATATTTCAAACCGATTTAATCCAAGATCAGTTGTTTGAAATAATGTTGGTGAGGGTAGAGAAGTCACTGTAAGGACTGGGAATGCTATCTAGAAATTACAAAACTGCAAGAAGTCGATGCCAAAATTTCACCCACAAAGCAGGACAGGGCCACTGGAGTTTGGATTTTAAGAAGCGTTCCACTGCCACCACTCCAGGAGTCTGAGCTGCTGCACTACTGCAGGAGAAATAATGAATTATAACTCTTTTCCTTCTGAATCTTTGTCAGTGCCTGCAATAGGCAGAGTCTAAAGCACAGACTTGCTGGTGAGGGGCTTGGGGATAAACCACAGTACAGGGAAGATGGCAGAAGGAGTAACACATCAAAATAACACATCAAAAGATAACCACCAGCACACACCCTTTTCATGGCTGCTCAAGTCCAATCAAGAGCATCTCAATCTTGTACTCCTGCTGTAGCTTCTTAGCAGAACTTTCTTTTGACCATTCATAAGTCATATCCAAAGCAGGAAGAGTAATATTTTAAAAATATAAGCCTCAAATCTACATTTTATCCTTATTTGAAACTTTCTGGATAGCTTTCATTGCAATTGAAGTAAAATCCAAACCCTTACTATGCCCACAGACCTGTATATTTTTGGCTTTTGCTGGGCCTCTAAACTTTGAAACCTACCATTTTCTACCACACCGACTGCACTTCTAACTCATCAGGGATAACTTCCTAATGTTTCTCAAACACACCAAGCTCATTCCTGCCTATTGCTTTGCACTTGCTATTCCTTCAGCTTGGAAGGATCTTTCCTCACATACTCCTGTATTTGGCTCCTGTTCATCATTTATATTTCAGCTTAAAGTGCACATTCAGACCTTATAACTCGTCTACTCTCTCTCTATTTTTTTTTTTTTTTTTTTTGAGACTGTGTCTCACTCTGTCACTTAGGCTGAAGTGCAGTGGAGCGATTTCAGCTCACTACAACCTCCACCTCCTGGGTTCAAGTGATTCTTGTGCCTCCCGAGTAGCTGGGATTACAGGCATGCACCACCATGCCCAGCTAATTTTTGTATTTTCAGTAGAGACAGGGTTTTTCCATGTTGGCCAGGCTAATCTCGAACTCCTGGCCTCAAGTGATCCACCCACCTTTGCCTCCCACAGTGCTAGGATTACAGGAGTGAACACCCTACCTGGCCTCTTCTACTGTATATTAGATAGCAAATGGTAGAGCATTGGTTTGAATTAGCTCTTTTCTGTTCCAGAAATGTAAATACTGACAGATTTCTTCCAAGAAAGAGGATTTCTGTCCTATTCAATAACACTTATATCTTTGTTTATGAAACAATGGGAAGGAAGACAATAAAGTTTTTAGAAATTTTATTTTATTGTTCTAGTTCAATTACAGATTTTTATTAATAACCACACTCTTCCTCTTTTTCAGATGTAATTATTTTTTGCATCAAAGTATTATTTTTCAAAGCAATGAAAAATAATAAACATAGCATTCTTATTTTTCAAAGCAATTAAAAATAATAAGAATGAACTTTGTTTCTTATAGATTATGAATTTTGAATGGATTAAGAAAGGTGATGGTTCATATATAAAATTATCCTAAGTCTGATATCAATAGAGGAAAATCGATCATTATAAGAAAAGATGAACAAAATAAGCAATTTTTAAAAAAAATATTTCAAAACTTGGGAATGTGAGTGGACCACGTTCTAATGGTACATGTTAAAGGTAATCCAACGGCATATTTTTCTGTGACACTTACCCTTCATGACTTTAGAGATAATATGGTGCCTCTAATATTAATGTGTGTGCAGCAATGCCTTCCTTAAAATTTTGCTCTAGTTTATGATTTTGTAAAATCCTGGTAGTATATCTAAAATGTACATTGGTCTAACGAAACAAAAATTCAATGACTTACTAGGTATAACTCCCTGACAGATAAGTTTTGCTAACTCCAGAGGCTTTTCTATTGGCTTGTATGCTATGCTGCTCGCTAATTCATTCATTCATTCATGAATTATTCATTCATTCATTCATTCAACAAATATGTATTACACTTCTTGTATGTGCCTGGTTCTAGAAACTAAATATAGAATCACAATAGAATGTAGCATATAACACTTTACAGAGTGCTTTGGAATATTCTTCTCTTATAAATACTTGAATCTTACCTCATTTCATATTGAAGTTCGTTTGTCTTCTCTGTGTCTCCATCTGAAATTACTATCTTTCCTTACAGGACACAAAATACCCTGTAAGCAATCACCTAAGAAACCTACTAAACAAGAAAGAGAGAAAAATTCTATAAAGGAGGCGATATAAAGATTAAATTGTAAAGGAGAAAAGAGAAAATTTAAAACTCTCAAGTGAAAAGGAACATTATTAGACAACAGAAGCATAATAGATGCATTTGCTCTTAGCAGCAAAATATATTGAAGCTTCACAGCTATAGGTTGTTTGAGGGGTCTATCATACAGCCCAGTGTTTCTCAAACCTGATTTCTCTTGTACTTTTCTAAAAAAAAAACAGATTTCTGTTCCTTATCCCTGCCCTACTATAGTTGGGGCCCTATCATTTGCATTTTTAATGTTATTGTAATAATTCTTACACAGACAGCTAACCATAGATTTCTTGTATTTTACTTACTTTGTGTTTTATGTATTTTTGGAACCACTAGGCTGAAAATTATAATATTTCTATAAAAATAACATGTCTCTAAGAAAAAAGAAAATGAGCCTATCATCAAAAATATCTCATGAATCTAGTAAACTGGTCATCTCTAAGAATTTAAGCATATCTTATTGTAAGACCTTTAAAGGAAGAAAAAATACCATCTGAATACAAACTACCAGTAATTCAATAAACTATACCTTGTTTACAGACTTGCAAACTATTTAGCATCCTGTAATTGGCCTAATGTTGGACAATTTATGGTTTGTTTTCTTCTTTTGATAGGGTTTCCATCTCACTTACAAAAACAACAAGAAGCAACTATAACTTTAGATTAAAAAAAAAAAACCATTGCAATGCCACAGGACTTTTCATAGGGCTCAAATAGGTCACAACAATAATATAGAAACCTGGAGTTCTCTCAAGATCTTAGCTATTCAGTTAAGGGTATGTGTTAAGCTCTTCTACTCCATTATAAAATGAAAGCTCCATGGATTTTTTTTTCCTGTACATTGTGATATATCTGCCCCAGAAAGAGTAATGGAACTGTGGAAGAGATAAATGACAGTTCTGTACAAAGAATTCTGTCCCTTTCATGAATATACCAAAGTATAACCCAGTTGTGCCCTCTGGCATTCAGTGGGAGCAAATTTTTCTTTAATTCTTTAATAAAATAATTTGAATTCCAATTTCACTTTAGACTAAAAGAAATTTATATTCTTCCCAAATATTTCTGCGAATTCTTGGAGATCGTGCTTATATATCTCGGTTGTTAACTTTTCAGCTCCACTGCCAAATTCCTGGTTTTGGCTGGCTTCTCCCTGACCATTCTGGCTACCTCTCCAACACTCTACATATTCCTCCAGCTCTTCTGTGGCTTCACCTTAAATTGTAGATATAGATTTTAGTCTCCAAAGCAAAGGGAAGAGAGAGCCATTATTAGGTTAGTAGTTGATTAAGCTGTATTAAAGATTTGGGATTAGGGAAATTACAGCATAGAAGAGGAAACTGCTCTTTCTAGATTTACTAATCACACACTGTCTCAGGGAATTTTAAAATAATATTGTAGCTATGTTTTTCCTTTGGGCTTGATCTGTACCCATGTTGCTGGGACCCATTCTGGCTTTGCAAATTCTTCTCTCCTAGTTCTTTTATACTATCCATCCACAACCACTTCATTACTTCTCCATCCTCCACCACCACTGCTGACCCCACACCCAGCAAAGCTCGAAGAAAGGGGGGAAGAACCCCTCCCCACAACAAAACAGCAATGAAAAACAAACTGCAAAACAAACAATCCAAACACACACACATGCATGCATGCGCGCACACACACACGCAATCCTGCATTTGGAGCTACCTGTTCAAAGCTGAAATTATTATACCTTAAAATAATCTCTTTATATCAGCAAGAACAAATATGAACTTTATTATGGAAAACATTTAATTATGGTTATCTGTTTTGTCATTCAAACATTGCCTGATGCCTTGCCTTTCATAATGAAAAAAAAATTCTTTTCTAAAAGAAAAAAAGCCTTTTCTACCTAAGAGTAATTATATAGGTCCCCCAAAATATAGAAAAGTGTGCAATATTTTTCTTTATTTTAAAATAGCAATATTTCCTTATAGCCATAAATGAATAGTGTATGCTTTTTTCTTTTAACTCAGAATGCACCAGGAATGATGCATAGAGGCTGATACAGAAAGTGAACACGGCACATTAACTGAGTCAGTGACTGAATCCTTCACATATTTTCAGAACTCAGAGGAATTCTCAACATTAGATGTTCCTTAGAACCACCTGGGGAGCTTTAACAAATCCCAATGCTCAGGCCCCACAGCAGATCTATAGATCTGACTCTCTGGGGCTAAGACCCAGGCATAAGTAGTTTTACAAGATCCCCAAGTGATTCCAATAGGCAAAGTTGAGAATGACAGAAAAGAAAAATTTGACACAAGCATGAGTAGCCAGTGGCCAAGCGTGATCTTGTGAACGAAGCCTCAGAAACTAGTTCAAAAGTAATTTGTGGGATGAAAAGTTGGAGGATCTTTCTCATCCATGTTTTTTAGGAAGAGGAGAAATTATTTCTTTAAAAATCCCTACTTATCTATGAACTTTATAATATAAATGACTAAGAATTAAGGAAGCCATCAAAGATGGGTGGCAGAGGTTCGGAGCTGGGTGAGAGGGGGTATGTAGTTGCTTTTTAAGTGATTCTCTTTTTCTGAACTATGTCAACTTTATAATACCATTTGAGTAAATGTCTTGGTTTTTTTTGCTTTTTTTGGAGTCAAAATCATATGATACTAGTTATCAATTCTGGAAGACAGACCACCACTACAACTTGTTACTTCATTCGCTTTGTAATAATATGGAAATAATATAATTTTAGCCTAGGAATGAGCCTCTGTACTAAAATTCAACATTCCCATTTAACAGATGAACAAAGTAACTTTGCCACACAAGTGAGAAATGGAAATGAGAGTAGACCCAGATTCACTGTCTTTAGTATGTGTTCTACAACATATACCTCACTTTTTCTCTAAGTAACTTTTTTCTCTTTCTAAAACTTGAGCAGTCTGTGTAAATATCTAGTGGATTCATATTGGAGGCCTCTAAAATCATCTTTCAACCCTGGCTTAATAATGTCCCATTATTATTATTATATAGAAATAGAAAAAAATGTAAAGAGAGACTGACAAGATTAATGCATTACCAGGTCTTAGTCTCACTGCCTGGATGAAAAAGTATTAATTAAATCATTGGGAACCAGAGTTATTCTCACATTTTATTATGAATATAAAATGAAAAGTAATGTTAAAAAGGAAAACGGATGTGTTGAGTCAATTATTATTGTATTTAATGTTCTTGTTAGTCAATGTTTGTTTCAGGACTAAGATGGTATCCAAAATCTGTGCTCAATATCTACAAATGGTAGAATTGTTGACATTCTGTAGGGATAGGCTTGGAATGAAGGGCAAGGTTTTGGAGGGTTTTTTCGTATGTGTGGCAGGTGAAGAAGTGAATCACAAAAAAATGCTATTCAACTGGTCTGATTGATAAAAGAAGAAATAGGATCTTGAGAGGTGCTAGACAGAAGAATAACTAACTGAAAGATTGTGTCAGTATAGAATCATGACTGATATTCTGTAAAATAGTTTTGGGTCAAGAGTATTGGGGTTCGAATTGAGGGTCTATTGCTTATTATTTCTATAACTTAGGACAGATTGTTTGCCCTTGCTGTACCTCAGTTTCTTCCTCTGTAAAATGGAGATATCTTAAACTTCACTTTATAAGAGTTAATGTGATGTTTAAATAAGTTTATATCTAAAAATCAATCGACTTTTATCTATCTATCTATCTATCTGTCACCTACATATCTATCTAATCAAGTTACACCTATACTTACTAAACACTCAATATTAGCTATTATTGTAGGGCAATGCATTTATAGTTAGAATGATGTATGCTCTATTTATTATGAGCAGTTATTTAAGAATGTGGAGAAGTGATCTTTTCCATATAAACAAAAAGTTTATAATGTAGGTAATAAAATGTGATATATTGTATATTAAATTTGAAATTAAGATGTTACAAACTGCAGGGGTTATCATTTTTGCTGCAGCCTGATTTTCAGGTACATTTCAAATGGTACTTGCATCTCTGGTTTCTCTCTGTCTCTCAGACTTTCACTTTGGGGGTGAAGAATTTGTATGTGGAAATAAAGTTTATTATTGCCTGCATGCAACATATCTAAGGAATCACATAGAATCAGATGCCAGGACCACTCAAGGTTTGTAGGTAATAACAGGCAAGAAGGATGACTGGTTGAACTATGCTTCTCAGTTTTAAATCATCCCAAATTGTAACTCTCCAGGGAAATGATTATTTGGAAACCTTTATCAGAAAGACCCTTTGGGATTGCCTATACCTATGTGACTGAAAGAATAAACCAAAATTATTGTTCCAGCCAGAAAATAACTGAGAGCTTGAGTATCACTGGCAAAGAATTTAGCTGTGATTCCATTAGCACAGTTGTCTCAAAGCTTCTTTTTCTGTAACATGAATATGTAGCCCCACGTGGGTCTCATTCTAACACTAGGCAGGTTTGAAAGGCCATAATCTGGAAACTGAGAACGAAGGAGAATAAAACGTGCCAACTATAATAAAGATAAGTACCGAATCTACGATGAGAAAAGTACATTGCAAATTATGGGAAATATTTGCAAAACAAAAGATTTTCAAAATAAAAATTCATAATATTCTAATATAAAAATATTTTCTTAATTGCAAAATTTAAAAAAATTACTTTGCACATGAATGTAAATAAAGAACAATATGATATCCTCATGGCTTAATCTCAAATTTTCTGCTGATCTCTGCTCAAATGTCAACCTAACATATAAATCTTCCCTGATTCCCATATCTAAAATAACTCCCCCATTGCTCTTTATTCCCTTACACTGCTTTACTTTTCTTCATATCTTTTAGCACTACCTGGCATCGAAATGTATTTATTTTTAATACTTTAGACTAGCTTTTCTGTCATTAATAATTCTTGGAGCATTTCATCTTCTTAAAATTAAATCAGATAATTTTTAGTTAATTTATTTTAAAACGGAATCAACTAGTAGTTATAATAGGATTAAAGTGAGTAAATAGATCAAGGATAACATGAGTATGCAATACTTTGAAATGATTTTGTAGTTTGATACAATAACACAAATTATAAATCATAGTCCATGCCTTAAGCATTTTAATAATGTTTATCTCAGTTTTTTTTATTTTCTTAGGCTCATTCATTCATTCAAATAATATGTATTGTTTATTTATTAATTAACTAGAAAATATACCTGGCACTGTGCTACAGCTGAAAACAAGACAATCCCCTACTGCTCTCAAGTTGCTTACAATCTAGTATGATAGACAAAGCTTAAACTAGTAATTTTATTTATTTATTTATTTATTTATTTATTTATTTATTTATTTATTTATTTTGAGACAGAGTCTTGCTCTGTCGCCCAGGCTGGAGTGCAGTGGCGCGATCTTGGCTCACTGCAAGCTTCACCTCCTGGGTTCACGCCATTCTTCTGCCTCAGCCTCCTGAGTAGCTGGGACTACAGGTGCCCGCCACCACGCCCAGCTAAATTTTTGTATTTTTTAGTAGAGACGGGGTTTCACCGTGTTAGCCAGGATGGTCTCAATCTCCTGACCTTGTGATCAGGCTGCCTCGGCCTTCCAAATTGCTGGATTACAGGTGTGAGCCACTGCGCCCGGCCTTTTTTAAATTTTTTGAGATGAAGTTTCACTCTTGTTACCCAAGCTGGAGTGCAATGGTGTGATTTCAGCTCCCTGCAACGTCCACCTCCCAGGTTCAAGCGATTCTCCTGCCTCAGCCTCCCAAGTAGCTGGGATTACAGGGGACCACCACCATGCCTGGCTAATTTTTGTAATTTTTGTAGAGACAGGGTTTCGCCATGTTGGCCAAGCTGGTCTCGAACTCCTGACCTCGTGATCCACTCTCCTTGGCCTCCCAAAGAGCTGGGATTACAGGCATGAGCCACTGCAATGGCTGTAATTATTAAAATAGATTTAATTTTAATTAATAATCAGAAGAAGAAATAGAGAATTTTGGTGAGTGAGTGTAGGGAGATCAAATCCTGTTTGGAAGATTAGGAAAGGCTTCTCTGAGAACCTGACATTTAGAAAGAGACTTGAAATTTAAATTGGGAAGGCAAAAAGGAATCTGGAGGAGGCCAAGGGAAGAGCATGCCTGATAGATCAAATAGCAGGCATGAGGACTGGATACTGAAGAAAAAGAAAACAATCTCAGCTTGCTCAATGACCTAAAGAAGGCCACTGATATGGTTTGGCTCTGTGACCCCACCCAAATCTCATCTTGAATTGTAACTCTCACAATTCCCATGTGTTGTGGGAGGAATCTGGTGACAGGTGATTGAATTATGGGGGCAGATCTTTCCTGTGCTGTTCTTGTGATAGTGCATGATTCTCACAAGATCTGATTTAAAACAAACAAACAAACAAACAAACAAACAGGAGTTTGCCTACACAAGCTCTCTTTCCCTGCTGCCATGCATGAGACTTGCTCCTCCTTGCCTTCCACCATCATTGTGAGGCGTCTCCAGTCATGTGGAACTGTTGAGTTGTCCATTAAACCTCTTTCCTTTTTAAACTGCCCAGTCTTGGGTATGTCTTTGTCAGCAGTATGAAAACAGACTAATATACATTAAATTGGTACCAGTAGAGTGAAGCACTGCTGAAAAGACACCTGAAAATGCGGAAGCAACTTTAGACCTGTGTAACAGGCAGAGGTTGGAAAGGTTTGGAGGGCTCAGAAGAAGATGGGAAAACGTGGGAAAGTTTGGAACTTTCTAGAGACTGGTTGAATGGCTTTGACCAAAAGCCTGACTGTGATATGGGCAATAAGGTCTAGGCTGAGGTGGTCCCATTTGGAGATTAGGAACTTGTTGGGAACTGTAGCAAAGGTGACTCTTGCTATGTTTTAGTGAAGAGACTGGCAGCATTTTGCCCCTGCCCTACAAATTTGTGGAACTTTGAACTTGAGAGAGATGATTTAGGGTATCTGGCGGAAGGAATTTCTAAGCAGCGAAGCATTCAAGGGGTGACTTGGGTGCTGTTAAAGGCATTCAGTGTTAAAAGAGGAGTAGAGTATAAAAGTTTGGAAAATTTGCAGCCTGACAATGTGATAGAAAAGTAAAACCCATTTTCTGAGGAGAAATACAATCCAGTTGCAGAAATTTGCATAAGTAACGAGGAGCCCGATGTTAATCACCAAGACAATGGGGAAATCTCTCCAGGGCATATCAGAGGTCTTCATGGCAGCTTCTCTCCATCACAGACCAAGAGGCCTAGGAGAAAATGGTCTCATGGGCCAGGCCCAGGATCCCTGTGCTGTGTGCAGACTAGGGACTTAGTGCCCTGTGTCCCAGTTGCTCCAGTCATGGCTGAAAGGGGCCAATGTAGAGCTCAGGCTGTGGCTTAGAGGGTACAAGCCCCAAGGCTTGGTAACTTCCATGTGGTTTTGAGCCTGCAGGTGCACCAAAGTCAAGAATTGCGGTTTGAGAACATCTGCCTAGATTTCAGAAGATGTATGGAAATGTCTGGATGCCTAGGCAGAAGTTTTTTGCAGGAGTAGGGTGCTCATGGAGAACCTCTGCTAGAGCAGTGCAGAAGGGAAATGTGGGGTTGGAGCCCCCACACAGAGTCCCTACTGGGGCACCAACTAGTGGAACTGTGAGAAGAGGCCACCATCCTCCAGACCCCAGAATGATAGATACACTGAGAACTTGCACTGTTCACCTGGAAAAGCCACAGACAATGCAAGCCCATGAAAGCAGCCAGGAGGGAGGCTGTACCCTGCAAAGCCACAGGGGTGGAGCTACCCAAGACCACTGGAACCCAGCTCTTGCATCAGCATGACCTGGATATGAGACATGGAATGAATGGAGATCATTTTGGAGCTTTAAGATCTGACTGCCCTGCTGGAGTTTGGACTTGGATGGGGCCTGTGGCCCCTTTGTTTTGGCCAATTTCTCCCATTTTGAATGGCTGTATTTACCCATCACCTGTACCCCCATTGTATCTAGGAAGTAACTAACTTGCATTTGATTTCGCAGGCTCATAGGCCAAAGGGACTTGTCTTGTCTCACATGAGACGTTAGACTGTGGACTTTTGAGTTAATGCTGAAATGAGTTAAGACGTTGGGAAGGCATGATATTGGTTTTGAAATGTGAGGACATGAGATTTTGGAGTGGCGAAGGGTGGAATGTTATGGTTTGGCTTTGTGTCCCCACACAAATCTCATCTTGAATTGTAACTCCCACAATTCCCATGTGTCTTGGGAGGAACCTGGTGGGAGGTGATTGAATTATGGGAGCAGGTCTTTCCTGTGCTGTTCTTGTGGTAGTGAATGAGTCTCATGAGATCTGATGATTTAAAAAAAAAAAAAATGGGAGTTTGTCTGCACAAGCTCTCTTTGCCTGCCGCCATCCGTGTAATATGCAACTTTCTCCTCCTTGACTTCTCCTCCTTGACTTCTGCCATGATAGTGAGGCTTCCCTAGCCATGTGGAACTGTGACTTTTCCATTAAGCCTCTTTCTTTGTAAATTGCCCAGTCTCGGGTATGTCTTTTTCAGCAGAGTGAAAACAGATGAATATAGCCACTATGTAGGGTTGCAGAGAAAATATAAGACTTCCAGTTATGTTTGAATTCCAGATACACAATGCACTTTTAAAAATGTAGGTATTTCTCCCAAGTAATAGGTGTATTTTCATTTGTTTATTCTGGCAACCATAGATTAGAGCACAATGAGTAACAGGAAATGGAATAATAGAAAAGAGAAGGCAATAACTGGGTCTCAGAAAGTCTTGGAAAATTATATTATTATTATTTTTTCAATGTGTAAGAAATTAGGAGGTGATTCAAGGCCTTTAAGCAAAGACTAATCTAATTTCTATTTTAAAAATAATAATTTTGTTTGTAGAGTGGAAATAAAGAAATCCAGTGTTAAAAACTCTGAGTAAAAATGGAAGAATAAACATATAATAGTAAATTTTGATTTATTTATAAAATTCAGAAAATTATGAAAAACTGTAGAGGAGATAACAAGCAACAAAATTTTAAAAACTGGGAAGCAGTTGAAAAAGTGAAAACTGACTAACCAAAAAGAAGAATGCTGAATCCTAAAGCAGCAGTTTAGATAGGTTAGGAATTGAACAGATTCATACGACAGTTTCTCAGGGTCTCAGGAATCAGGCTTTCTAGGTTCCATGGAAGTAGGAATAAAGGAGGAGAACCTAAATATACCTTCCCATAAGAGAAGAAGGATAGAAGTTTATATATTCTGGAGAAATAAACCCAAAATCTCTGTACAAAAAAAAAATTCATGCACAGTTGCAAATATGAATGGAGGTGGTAAAGTCTATACAAAAAAGAAAGTAGTAAAACTAATGAAAGCAGATTAGATATTGAAAATCTCAGCTTTTTTTTTTTCAACTTGGGTTTTAGTATTCTGTTAGGCTGCTTCTAGCTAAGCACTGAGCATGGGAAATTGTCCTTGGGCAATATGATAAGACCCAAAGTAAGGACCTAAAAATAGTGCTGTGGGATGACCCAACAGTATGGTGCAGATTTCTCTACTGAACCTACATTGACAAAGTCTAACCTGTACGCTCTCAGACTTTCCTTTCAATTTTAATCTCCATTAGCAGTAAATAAAGAAATATCAGGTATCCGAGGAAAATCTCTTTACTTAAAAAAAGTCCAAAACAAAGAAATTTAAAAAGCAAACTGAAGAAAATAAAACTGTGTAGAAAAAAATAAAACAATGAAAGCTATGATAAAGAACTTGAGAGATAAAAAGATGGAGAAACATGAAACAGGAAGAAGATACTACTAAAGAAAAAGATTAAGATGAATATTCAGAATACAAAAACAAAAAGTTGTAGTGTCATTAAAAATAAAAACATAGAAGAAATAAAAAACAAAATACTAGGCTTGAAAGTTAGAATAGGGTATATATTTCAGATAGTAGAGCAAAAATACAAAGTGGGACTATATTCCAGACAATAGAGCAAAAACGTGAAATTCAGAGAGAACATAAGAAAATTTGATGATGGGCCCACAAGAGCCAATATCTAAATAACAGGCATTTTAGCTAGAGAGAATAGGAGACATGGAGGAAGGAAACCATTAATCGAAGAATTTAAGGGGATTCCAAAGACAGAGAAACATAAATTTACAGATTAAAAAGGTCCACCACATGCCCCCAAAGTACCACAGCATGAAATTTTAGAGGGCCAAAATTAAGAACCAACAAACTTGCAGAAAGAAATAGAAAGCAATAGCAGACAATGGTACATTGCCTTCTAATCCTAAAAGACAACCGTTTTCAACCTAGAATACTATAGTCAGACACTGGCAATAAATTGCTAAGGTAGAACCCAAAATACTGTGACATGCAAGTTACAAAAACTCATGTCCTAGATGAAGTTCCTAAAGAGGCTGCTGCAGGAGATACACTACTAAAACAAAGAAATGAACCATGGAATTGTTCATTATAAATAGAAAGTTATGGAATATAGAAAACAAGACAAAAAGAGAAAAGTGAAAGAAATGCCCAGGAGGGCTTAGAAGGGAGAAGCAAGCCAGTCATGGAAGTCAACCAGACCAGAACAAGTCAATAGGCTGTGGGAGAGGTTTTTCAAAATGCAGAAACTGAAAGAATATCTGATGTATCCGACAACTGGACATTTAGACAACTGGCAAAGAATTTGTGATAAATGCAAAAGTAAGCATACTAAAAGAAAAAATTCTAGACAATTAGAGAAAATCTAGGGAATACAAAATGTGCAGAAAATTAATGTTCCATTCTGAATCAAGAAATAACAATGTTATTTATTTGTGGAGCTGTAGAGGTAAATGCCAAAATGATTAACTTAACTAATAGAATTGAAAATGGTTAACTTGGAGCTGGAAGATGAGAATGTCAGTGTACTCTGGGTGTGTAGCAAGCCTTGAACAAACCTTGTAGAACTATTTGACTTTTTAATCCATGTAGAATTCATGCATGCATGTAGAACTCTGATAAAAAAATAATAAAATACATTTAAAAACCAACCTATGGATATTTAAATCATCCAGATAAGAAATCCTAATAACTTGGACTAAGGTAATGAGAGCAGAGATAGTGGAGAATGCATGGATTTGATATAGAGGATGAGGAATAATGAGTTGTTTGTTAAGGGTAGCTTTTAGGTTTGTTCATGAGCAACAATGAAATAAATAACATTAGAGTAAGAAAAACAGAAAGAAGTATATGAGTTTTCTTTCATAAATGCTTAGCTAGAAATAACATGGATAAATTGAGTAATAACTCTGTAAAACATTCTGAAACTTAAAGGAAAATCTAGGCTGGCAAAAAAAGCAGAAGTCCTGAGCACTGATGTAACTCATTAATTATGACATCAGCATTTGGAATGATGCACATGTAGAGTCAATAGAAAAAAATAGCAAATCAACAGTCTTTCCATTAGCTGCTTACAAATATATGTATAGTCTCCTTCCATTCTGTCCCTTCCATGCACATTCTTCCTCCTCTTTCTAAACCTTTGGCCTCTTCTCCAGGGTCTAGTTGTTTATGGTCCTCAAAGTCATAAAAATGGTAATTCTTGGCAACTCATGATACAATCTTACTGTCCACGCTACAAGAGGACATTCCAGTGTTTAAACTTCAGCTTGGAGAGTAAGTCAATAGCATTTACTCATCACCTTGATGACCTTGATGCATTATGGGTTTAATAAAGGATATTTTCGGCCGGGCGTGGTGGCTCACGCCTGTAATCCCAGCACTTTGGGAGGCCAGGGCGGGCAGATCACGAAGTCAGGAGATCGAGACCATCCTGGCTAACACTGTGAAACCCCGTCTCTACTAAAAATACAAAAAAAAAAAAAAAATTAGCTGGGCGTGGTGGCGGGCGCCTGTAGTTCCAGCTACTCGGGAGGCTGAGGCAGAAGAATGATGCTAACCCGGGAGGCGGAGCTTGCAGTGAGCCGGCATGGTGCCACTGCACTCCAGCCTGGGCGACACGGGGAGACTCCATCTCAAAATAAATAAATAAATAAATAAATAAATAAATAAATAAATAAATAAATAAAAAGTATATTTTCCCTTCTACTCAATTATACTAGACTCCCTTCCCACCACTAGCAAGAATATAAAGAAAAATACTTGTGGGATGGGATAATGGGGACTACCTTTCTGTTAAATGACACTAAAGGCTGCAAGTTAACCTAGGGTGAAAATTTACATTAAGAACAAAAGAGGGGAGCCAGCCTCGGGAAGGAAGCGCCTGTCGCGAGCGCGAGCTTCTGAGCTCGATGGGCCGAGCTGGCAGCTGGTTGGTGCTTACACCTTGGCCGCAGCGGCAGGTCCCTCCACGTGCTTTCGGCGGCGACCTGGAGCTGGAGGAGTCGGGGATCCGAGAGGAATGTGGCGTGTTCCGGTGCATCGCCTCAGGAGAGTGGCCCACGCAGCTGGATGTGCCGCATGTGATCACTCTGGGACGCCGCAGCGCCGGGGTCAGGAGAGTGCTGGTACTCTGACTAGTGACGGGAGTTCAGCGCCAACATTCAAATCACACAAGGGAATGGGTCTTGTAAATCACGTCTTTACTGAAGACAATTTGAAAAAATGACATGTTTCAAATCTTGGAATTGGACACACAAGGTATGCCACCACAGGAAAATGTGAACTAGAAAATTGTCAGCCCTTTGTTGCTGAAACACTTTATGGGAAGATAGCTGTGGCACATAATGGCCAATTGGCAAATGCTGCTCGATTAAGGAAAAAGCTTCTGCGTCATGGTATTGATCTGTCCACAAGTTCTGATAGTGAAGTGATTACCCAGTTACTGGCGTATACCCCTCCTCAGGAACAAGATGACACCCCAGACTGGGTAGCCAGGATTAAAAACTTGATGAAGGAAACACCCACAGCATACTCCCTGCTTAAAATGCCCAGAGACGTTATTTACGCAGTATGAGATCATTATGGAAATCGTCCCTTATGCATTGATCGTCTTATTCCAGCGTCTGATATAAATGACAAAGAGAAAAAAACATCGGAAACAGAAGGACGGGTGGTGTCTTCAGAATCTTGTAGCTTCTTATCTATTGGTGCAAGATATTACCGTGAAGTCTTGCCTGGAGAAATTGTGGAAATATCCAGACGTAATGTCCGAACTCTTGATATTATATCAAGGTCTGAAGGAAACCCTATGGCTTTTTGTATCTTTGAATATGTTTATTTTGCAAGACCAGACAGTATGTTTGAAGACCAAATGGTTTATACAATAAAATACCGTCGTGGCCAGCAGCTAGCTATTGAAGCACCTATGGATGCAGATTTGGTTAGCTCTGTTCCAGAATCTGCTACGCCTGCTGCTCTTGCTCATGCAGGGAAGTGTGGACTTCCATATGTGGAGGTGCTGTGTAAAACCTGATATGTAGGGAGAACCTTCATTCAGCCAAACATGAGGTTAAGACAACTTGGTGTTGCAAAAAAATTTGGAGTATTGTCAGACAACTTTAAAGGCAAAAGAATTGTTCTTGTAGATGACTCAATTGTGAGAGGCAATACCATCTCAACTATCATAAAATTGCTCAAAGAATCTGGTGCAAAAGAGGAACACATTCCAGTAGCTTCACCACCAATTAAATATCCATGCTTCATGGGAATAAACATTCCTACAAAAGAAGAGCTCATTGCCAATAAACCAGAATTTGATCACCTTGCAGAATATCTAGGAGCAAACAGTGTTGTGTATCTGTCAGTAGAAGGACTGGTTTCATCTGTGCAAGAAGGGATACAGTTTAAAAAACAGAAAGAGAAAAAGCACGATATTATGATCCAAGAAAATGGAAATGGTCTGGAATGTTTTGAAAAGAGTGGTCATTGTACAGCTTGTCTCACTGGAAAATATCCTGTAGAATTAGAATGGTAGCTGGTAGGGTTGGATGTGTGTAGTTTCAAGATAGAAAGGTGGTCAAGAAGTTATAGTGGTCACACCTCATCTATTTACTGTTACTCAGTTGGTACAATGTAAAATGCCATGCTTATGTTTACCTTTATAAGTTTTGAGATTTTTTTTTTCTGAAAAGGATACCAAAGTGGGATAACCAACCAAACATTTCTAATTGCATATAATACAACAATATGTGGTGTTCTTTTTTTTACACAAGCATTGGCTAGCCTTTTTAACCTGGTCAGAGAAGGCAGGTGGTCACTGACATTTGCCATGTCCATGCTTTAAAGGGTTTGCAAGAAGTTAGGGTTAAGGAGAGGTGATGCCAACAAGACAGGTGAGTTAAATGTAACATTTCACACAAAGTTTGAATAGAATACATTATACCTCATAGGTGTCTAGCTTGTAAAGTTCTGGCTGTAGTTATGACCTTGGCTTCCCTGTCTAACTGTAGACAAATCTTTAAAAACAAAAAACACAAAATATAATCTGTGGTGCCTCAGTTTCCCCACATGTGCAATGGGATACTTATTAGACTAAATAATTAATAAGAATGTGAATAAGTGTCATACTTTTGTGATTTGAGTCATCATTTCACTTCTGATTTTAAGACAGCTCATGATTGTTAGCTTTCGGAAAGCTAATGATTATTAACTTTTTGAAATTAGTTTACAATTAAGATTTCATTATGATGGAAGGAGATATAATTGGCAGATCTTTGCCATCTCTCTTTGAGATGTCCTAAAAAGGGTTGTAAAAATCTGTGAAAAAGTTTTTCCTACATTTGATTAGAAAATGTGATCCACAGTATTTAGCGCCCTGATACTATAAGCTCAGCAAGTAACCTGGTACGTTTGAAATAAAAACCAAATTTTTAGAATAAAACAATCCCTTTATCCTTAATTTAATTAATTATCATATAGTTTTTTAATGAAGGGCTTGATCACTTGCAAGCATATATACATGTAGATGTACATATACATGTACACATACACATAAATATTATTGCAATTAAGTGATCAAGTACAGACACAATAGGGGCCAGTTTTGTTTAAGGATCAAAGAGTCAACCACTTTGGGGAGTTAGTATCAACTTATAATCCAAGTCCAAGTATCATCTTATAATCGCTTTTTTCTACTTTATTAAGATCTAATGAATTTGATTTCTTTTTTGAAGTTTTTTCTTGTAACATCTGAGATTTAGAAGTTTAAGATGACCCCAAACCTTTATGTAAGAATTTTTAAACATAAAAGTGTTTGTTTCTGTTATGTTACCATAATTTGATGTATATAGTGTCCAGATCCATTTAGAAATTTAATATTAATAACTGAAACTGCTTGTCTTCCTTTGGTATATAGTCTCACATATTATATTATAGCAGACCAAGATAAAATTTTGAAAGCTCTTTAAGCCCACATGCAGCAGTGGGTCAGACAACCCTGTGGCAGTGACACGGGCAAATTGGCATTTGAATAAAGCCCTGGGACCACTTCAACATGTGTAGCCTCTTGTCTTAAATGTATTCCCCATGGCAGCATGGAGGAGGTAAGACCTGTGGGTCAATTTTGAACTGGACTTACTTTGATTTTTAAAACAAGAAACTCAGGGAAAGTACTAAACCAAAATCTCTGATTTTACTTTGCGTTTTCTGTAGTTTTTGTTTTACTGAGATGCTTTTGTAAAGGAAAATAATACTGTGACAGTTCAGTAATTCTACAGATTTCTTAATATTTCTCCATCATGGCCTTTTACTTCACAATTTTCTGAAGTCTGAATTCAATTTTTTTTTACCAATTTAATCTCAAATGTTGTTTAACTGCTTTAAATTTATATACGTAGAGTATTATAAACTGCAGAGATGAAAAATGTGTTTTCAAGGGATTTATATTGTGAACTGAAGTAAGCCTACTTTTTGTGACTTATTTGTGATGTCTTGTTGATAAATATGTGTAATAAGTATGTTTAAAAAAAAGAACAAAAGAGGTTATAAAAACAAGGCCTATAAAACTACATTTAAATTTTGGATAGAGGAGAAGCAGAAAAATTGTGAAATAGTGGCCAAAGAAAGAGAGAAGGAATGCTGTGAAGATTTAGTGTTACTGAAGCCAAAGTAAGAGAGAGTTTCTAAATGGAGAAATCAACTATTTGGAAAGTGATGGGAGGCTGTTTGTAAAGTGAATCACTAAGAAGGGAAGTTAGATTTGGCAAAATTGTGTTAGTTGATCATTTTATGACACAGGTTAATTGGAATAATACAAGCATTGGTGAGCTCGTAGCATTGTTTTGATGGTATCTCTGTCTTCTCTTCTCGCTCTCTCTTTAGACATTTTGAAGTCTTGCATAATAATTAGTCAAGGCTCAGCATATCCAGGGGTCATAGTTAGTATTGAGTTTAAAATCAAACGTATTAACCCCTACATTTGAGTTTTCCCCTTTTGTAATTGAAGATAAATAGCTTAAACTGTGTCTTCTTTTTAAACATACAGACATATAGACACACAAACTGGATGGCCAGTAACTGAATAAAATATTTTTTAAATAAACGAAAAGCTGTGTTTTTCTATATTTAACCAAATAAGTTTGCTTCATTTACATCTTGCTAATGAAATGCTTGCTTTGCTGTGTGGCACTAACTATAACACAGAAAATACAATTTTAGAGCAATATATTTTGGTATAAGAAACAAAATCGAACATTACTTAAAATCATAGTATCTTACTATTTATTAAGCCCTTACTGAATGTCCATTAATTACTCTTATTAAGCCCTTACTATTTATTAAGCCCTTACTTAATGTCCATTAATTGTGAAAACACGTAAGGCCAAAAATCTATCCTGAATTCAGAAGACCCTTGACTTTCAATTGTCTAATTGTATATGTATAGTAATCCTACAAGTACAAAATAAAAACTTATTGATGAATAGAATTGTAGGGAAATTTAGTGGAATTGTTTTTGAATTTGGAAAGGCTATTAATAACATTTTTTGTTTTTAAACTGACAATGGCAAACTCATTCCTGTTAGGGCCTGGAAACATTCAGGTCACATTGCTTTCGGAATGATTTGAGTTCTTTCTATTTGAATAGTCTTGGTGTGAGTTAGAAGTCTTTAGTTTCCTTCTGTGTACTTTAGAGGGATGCTTAGCAACCTTGTGGTTGTAATATTTCTGAATCTCTTGGATCACTTTCAGTAAATATCAGTTCAAACAACACTGGACTTGAGAAGGTTGATTTACATATTTGCCTTTAGAATGAGACTAACACACTCCTTTCTGGGCTCAGGAAAGTCGTCTGAACTCCTTCTCTCTCTTCCCTACCATATTTCCTCTGGCAAACTCTGGGATCCTGGGGCAAAGATAAGCAGCCCTAAAGTGTCATTCTTTCATATCCTAAACTTTTTCAACGGCCTTGTATACTATTCTATTTGGAGCCTCCCTGGAGATGTTTTATCCAGTCCTTTCAGTTAATTCAGAAGGGCCAAGAAGCCTATGCAGGGTCCTCACTTGACCACTGCCAATTCAGGCTTTACCATTTCAGCATAAACTGAACAAAATGGCCTTAGAAAAGAGAGAGAGAGAGAGAGAGATACGACCAAAATTGTGTTTCTGACCAAAAACATGGAGAGTGGGTAATTTTCTTACTTACAGAGTATATGGAAAAAGACAAAGTTATAATGAGGTTAGGCCAGCTATAGTCATTGTGCTGATGCTTCTAGATCTTTATTTACATCTGCACTAAAGGGAAGGGATGGTAATAGAGCAGCAGAAGCAACATGAGATAATCTAAAGAATATAAAATCAGCCCAGATCTTCCACAACTTTGGTGTGCCCTTGGATAAATCACTTCACTGGTATGAGTTTTCTTCATCAATAAAATGAGAAGGTCCTACTAAATCGCTCCAGCCAATCCATTCAGCTTTTATATTCAAATATTCATTTAAGTCTTAGAAGTAAGCTCTGAATATCTGTTTGGTGAGAATATTTCTCATAATAATTATGATGGCTCATCTATGTAAGCTTAAAAATATAGATTTTCAAAAACTATGGTGTTTCAATACAGCATTATACTCTTGATCTCAAATATTTCCTAATTGAATGTCTGTATAGATAGGCAGCAAGATAGGATATTTGATTTTACCTTCTTGAATATAATAGTTTAAATTACTTGAAGCATATCTAATATTAAAGGACACTTACTTGCCACCCCCACATCACCATGCCATTCATCTTTCTGGCAAATGTCAATGAATTTTAATAGTAGGAGGTAAAGAAAGATAGTCTTTTTTTTTTAAATGTTAAGGGTTTAGGATGAAACAAATAAATGTTTAAGTAAAAAATGCATTTTTTAACTGTGGCAACTATATATGCGAAGCATAGGAAATTTTTTTTAGTGAAACACAGAATGGATGAATTTCTCATTTGCAATATGCTAATGTTATGTAAGACACATCCAAATAGTTATCTAGCAAAAATGTGTACGCTGTGATTTTTGTAAGTTTAAATTAACAAAATGCATTAAATTGGTTTCATAAAATCTATCCAGATATGTATATGTTCAGCCTGCATATTAATGCAGCATTCTTTCTTCAGGCACGTAAAAAGATGATGGGCTGTAGCTATTGAAATGTGTTACATTTGCTCCATAACATTCTCTGCTAAAATGCTGTTGTCTTGAGAGCTCTCATGCTGTGTTGTTAATAACAGTAGGATCTTAAATGAAGCCATTACCTCCGCTCTATAAATCACAATTGTTTTTAATCAAAGAACATTAAAATGAGCTAGTTGCCACTGAGGGATTATTCAGTTTAAAAGAAGCAACTTTACACAGATTTAGAAGAAACATACGTAGGCACTTTAAGGACTCATTGCTTTTTGTAGGTAAAGATTTGGATCATAAGTCATGTTGGAGAAAAGTAACTCTACGATTCAACATTTATAGAAGAGGAGAGTACACAATCTGGGGCAAAATATAAGTCCTACCACTGCACTTCTACCATGAGCCTGTGCTTTACAAAGTCCTGTTCTGTAGCCCAGAATCCTGGGAGCACATGTGAAATAAGAGTTCTGGGGACAGAAATAATATTGCCACATTACTAACCCTACCTTTGGAGATTTGCAGTAGTTGTTAAACTTTTCAACTACCTTTTTTAGAAAAGATAAACTCATGTTCCATAAACTCTAATATGATAGTAATTGTATGTTTAATGTCCATTAATTGTGAAAACACGTAAGGCCAAAAATCTATCCTGAATTCAGAAACTCTTTAAAAAGGTATCTTAAATCAAAATAGCATTTACACACTCAAATATTATAAAATACATGAGATTTATGTGTGACAAATAGTTTATTTTATCTGTAGGCATTTCCTGGTGCATTTATGGATTTGCAGGTATCAGGGATGCATAGCCCTCAGGTTCCTTAAGCCAGTAATTCCCATGCTTTCTACATGGTAATAGATACAATGGATGAGTTCCTATTTGCTCTATGCTATGTAACATTAGACATATCAAATATGTTTTAGATGATTCATTCTAGAAGTGGTTAATGATTACATCAATGATAAAAATAGCTATTTAAATACTTCACTAATATTGCGGGCTACACACAATTTTTAGATGAGTAGCTGTAATTCTATCCCTTTTCCCTGGCTGAAGAAAGCTTCTAATAATGCAGCATAATGAAGCTGGTGTATTCTTTAGCATCTTTAATTTGCTGTAATTTTAGGGATTAATCATACATTTTGTCTTTTTTTAATTTTGAAACACAACTTGAAATATTTCACAAATGTAGCTATATTCAATTTAAAAACCACTAATAAATAACAGGTTTGCTTTTGATGATATAGATATCTACACATTCAGCTGCATGGAACCTGGGCCAAGTTGCACCCCATATTTCCTACGATAGCCCTGAATCTGATGAAATTCTCTTAAGCAAAATGTAGATGATTCTTTCTAACTACATGGATAAAATTCTAATATTCAGCTAAGATGCAAAAGATTCAGTTACATCTGATTGCCCTAAGTTAAACACATTGGCACGAACTGCAAAGATATGCTCATTGATCAGCTATTGCTCAGAGGGCATTTAGGAAAAGACATATGCTCATGGAGTGCCAGTTCAATTCTCAGCATGCTGCCATAATTACATGCTTCAGTGTGTGCGCTTAATGACAAGAAGAAGAAAACCAGAACTGCCTCAGAGAACACAAGGGTACTGGCTCAACAATCCCCACTTTCTTAGGTGCTAAAGTTTTGATCCTTTTCAGAAGAAAATGGTGCCTTTCAAAAAGATGTTCTCATAAATGAAATCCCTCTGTCATATCTTACAATAGTCTTTATTGGTTAAAAGTCCATATCTATTTATTTTCATAACATATTTCAGCAAGTTATTTGCCTACTTAATTTAGGGCCTCAGGATTCTATGTTTACAGGTGACTGGATAATATCATCTTCTGCATGGGATCAATAATGATGAGGCCATCAAAGGAAAGGGGTGAAGATTAAACTGTGAGATATGTAGAGTCTGTCACTGGTAACACAGTCCCTCCCATCAATTCCCAGTGTTTGACTGCTTAACATGTTATGGAAATGTTATTACTCATAGAAATTCGGGTTTTCTAAGCCTTGAGGTCATCTATCTTTTGTTTCATGAATGATCTTTGTGAAACAAGAGAAATTCATCCTCTTTTTTGACATTGAGGTAAATTTACTGTCAAGCTCCTTACAGCCTAGCTTCAGATCCCATCTCTTGCATGCCTCCTTTTGAAGTCTTATACCTAATTTTCATCCATAATTGTGCAGTGTTGTTTACTGTAAGGAGAATGGCAGGATCTACAAAACCCAAATCAGACCCCACTCATACAGTTTAGTATGGCAGCTGTCCCAAAGATGCTGCCCTTGAACAGCGCCAAAGCCTTAAGATAAAAAGTTGCAATTATCAAGACTGAATTTCAGGTACGTGGCAATGAGTAGCAAAAAACCTTTCCTCTGTCTGAAATCAAGTTTTCCTGCCACTATATATTGATATTTCAGTGGAAGTAATTTGCATGGGAGTCTTCTGAGTTTCTCGTATTTTCTGTGGCATGTCCAGACTTCTTATATTTGCACAAAATTGGCAAACAGCAACAATAGCAATGGTGACAAAAATAATTAGACCAGGGTGTCCAAGGGAGACAATACGGTCATGAGTTCTGTTTCTGATTGGGCCAGTAAAGCCCCTTTCTCATCCCTCTTTTCCACTTATCACTAGAGATAGAAACTAAAAACAATGGCTTCAGGCTGCTAAAAGCCTAAAACAAAACAAAACAGAACAACAACAACAAAATAAGGCAGGTTAGACCTCATTGACCACTGAATGAATGCCAGGATCTTTGCTAAATTGTGGCTTCCACTGCAAAATTTAAGTAAACTTACTGAAGATGTTATCCAAAGTCAGATATAAATCAGAATGTAAAGAAGAATTCAGGTTTGGAAGGTAGCTTTCAAGTTTAAAAAAATGTAAAAATACAGATTTTTTTTAATATTGAAAAAATAGTCAATATTGTGAGGCAAATGAAAAAATAACATTTTAAATAACGAAAATATTATATTTTAATTCCCTACATTTCACAAAAAGAGCAACAAGACCTTTAAATTGGAAGTCATCTTGGGCCACCATTTTCAGTTTCTCATCCACTGCAAAAATCCTCCTTACCATCTTAACAGAAAGCCTATTTTACTTCACTTACATTGCTGTGAATGTCATTGTTTTCAGCCACAGTCGGCCTTAGTGCCAAATGCTACTTTGCGTCCCATTTTTGTATGACTTGCAAACTAAGAATAGATTTTACATTTTTAAATGGTTTTTAAAAATTAACAAAAGTAGAGTACGTCATAATACATGACAATCATATGAAACTCATTTTTTAGTTTCTATAAATAAAGTTTTATTGGGGCACAGCCATGGTTATTATTTATGTATTGGTGATGGCTGCTTTCATGCTACAATGGCAGAGATGAGTAGTTTCAAGAGACAGAAAGGCCCACAGGCCTGAAATATTTACTGTCTGGCCCTTTATAGAAGTTTACTGATTACTCAAGAACCACACAATATAAATTTCTTTCTTTTCTCCTTAAGAGAATGGCTAGTAGTTTAGGTTCTTCTCTGTCTCTCTTTCTCTTTCTTTTTAAATTGGTGATTATCTTTATTTTGCCTTCACATTTTTTTCTTAATTGGGATAATTATAGATTCACAAGCAGTTGTAAGAAATAATCAGACATTACATCTACATTTTGCCTAGTTTCCATAAATAACATTTTGCAAAACTATAGTAGGATAACCAAGATATTGACAGTGATCTTATCAATCTTACTCAGATTTCCTGTTTTACTTGTACTCATCTGTATATATGTGCATGTTTGTGTGTGCGCATGCGTATAAGCTTTTTTTTTTTTTTTTTTTTTTGAGACGGAGTTTCACTCTTGTCACCCAGGCTGGAGTGCAATGGCACAATCTCGGCTCACTGCAACCTGCAACCTCCACCTCCCGGGATCTAGCAATTCTCCTACCTCAGCCTCCCAAGTAGCTTGGATTACAGACATGTGCCACCACAGCCGGCTAATTTTTGTATTTTTAGTAGAGATGGGGTTTCACCATGTTAGTCAGACAGGTCTTGGACTCCTGACCTCACGTGATCTGCCCGCCTCGGCCTCCCAAAGGCCTGAGATTACATATGTGAGCCACCGTGCCTGGTTGTTTATAAGTTCTCTACAGATTTTATCACTTGTGTACATTTGTGTATCTTCCACCATGCTAAAGATATGAAACAGATTTCCCTCGTTCATTCTTAAATCCTTTCATACTTTATCATTCTCATCAGACGTATTTTTAACACTTTGGTCCACCTTTTGTTAACTTCTGATAGCCTTGCAGCTTAATGATATCTCATTTGAAGTGTCTATTTCTACTCCCAGTTATGTTGTGTACAGGGAGTTGCAAAAACTCAGAAGATAATGAAGGACTTTAAAGTAAGATAAGAAACATAACTCTGGCAACCTTAGAAAGTAGTACGGTCTTATTAAGTAACAAACAATTATGATGTGTTAAAGCAACATTGAAAAGTAATGCAATAGCCAAATTAAAATCTGCCTCTAATGCAGTAAAGGGCAGAATACAAGCAATCTGAATCAGTAATAAAGTATAAAAAATTATTAAACTCTCTGAAATTCAGAAGGACGAATACTGACACAATAAAAAAAAAGAAGAGAGAGAAACAGGGATAGAAACAAGAAAGAGATGCTGTGAGAGAAAGTGCTAGGGATAGGGAAGGAGGAGGAAGAGGAAGGTGGGGCAAAGGTGTGGGAGAGGAAGAGAGAAGACAAGGAGGGAGGGAGAAAAAGGAAGAGAGAAAGGAAAGAAGGAAGGTAATTGTACCATAACCACGGTACAATGATCAAAATCAGGAAATTAGTATTTGTACTTACTGTTAACTAAATTCCACACATTATTCAGATTTCACCAGTTGTCCAATTAATTTTTTCTTTTGTTCCAGATTTGGATTCTGGCTCCAGCATTGCATTTTGATATTTGTTTTAGTCTCTTCCAGTTACAAACAGTTGTAACAGTCGGTCTTTTGTTGTTGTTGTTGTTGTTGTTTTGCAACTTTTTAGCACTTTTGAAGAGCATTGGTTAGGTGTTCTTTCTAACTCCAACAGGTAACTCTGTGAGGTCAATCAGAATGAACAGAGAAAAATATGTGCCTTGTTTTGATAAATATGAAAGTGAGACCCATCTAGTAGACAAAATATTGCATCACACAATAACCAAATGCCATTCTCTCTTTGTGTACGCGTATAGAAATATATATGTAGTACAAATATAATTTAAAATGTCAATGAAATATTGTCTTCTTTGAATTTTCTCCTGTAACAAAAAATTGTAATAGCCAGTGTTAAAAGCCAACATTAGCAACCTTATTAAACCAAGTACACATCCAGAAAACTATAACACTTGTTTTGAAAATATGAATCCCAATTTAAAGCAACATAAATCCAGTATTTACTTATCTGTGTGTGCTCCTAATGTCTTCCAGGTAATGCCTAATCAGTTTTGGAAATTAAACTGAGTAGGGCCCTGGCAGTTAAACTGTATCATTTGACAACTTTGTATCACCCTGTGGCAAATATAATCTTCCTGCTGGTTGACCAGTGTCAAGCAATAGGGAAAACTACCAGGATAAGGCAACCTGCTTTTACTCCAGGTAACTAGCCTTCTGAATGAAATAGTACCTACTCATACATTTGTTTGGTAAGTGATTTGAATTCCTCTGTTGAAGGTGGGAAATAGAGCACGTTAATATTTTTACTAAGTGTGGAAGCTATATGAGAACCAATGTATGTTTCTGTCTTTTGAGTGGAACAGCTTTGGCTGAACAAGTGGTGAATCAGGGGAAGAGAACATTTAAGTCCACGAACACTGGACTCAATTTAACATTCAAAAACTTTTCAATAGTCACAGTACCTGAACTATGGACTAAGAGAAAGGAATCATGAAGCACAGACAAAAAGGCAAATGGAAGTGGAAGACACTCAAGTCAAAATTAGATGACTTAAAAAAAGAATTTTGTAAATAAAACTTCCCTTTCAGTTAAACTCTGAAGTGCAAAGTGCATCTTCTGTTTTCATTTACATCCATATTTACCAAAAGTAGTTTTCTATCATAAAATACAATATTTTTCCTTTCAGTGAAATCTTTAAAGTGTACACCGTTAGATATCTGTAGGCTCTTCTAGAATGCACAGCTGAAAAAACAAGATATTTAAACCCTCAAATGGTTTGGGTCCATTTCAAGGTTTTGTTCTTGGCCTTATTATGCAAAAAACAAAAAGTTGCCCTCGGCCTCTAAATTTGGGAATGACAATTTAAAATGTTTAAATACCGAAGTATTTATTTGGTGTAAATTATATATAGTCTTTATTCATTTTAAAAAGCATTTAATGTTTAGCAACTTTAATAAAGGACTAGAAATATTAATATATACATTGCTGAATATTCATAATATTTAGTTTCTTTTCCTATGAAAGTAAAATTTTGTCCTAAGACTGGACAATGCCTACAATTGCATCTTTAGGCACATAATTTTGTCAGAAAGTTGATAATTTTCAGTTTACTATTTCCCCATGTACTTAAAAAAATAATGTTTTGATATATTCAAGATGTATCATTTTACGAAGATAGTAAAAAAAGAAGATTTATGCATAAACATTCATATGGTAGTAATTTTTAAAATGATATTATCTTCTGTAACTATGTAAATCAAACCTGGCAGCTGATGCTTGGCAGTTGAAGAAGACCCACAGAATTATTCTTGCAAATTATGATGAGTAACTGAACCCAAAGCGACCCCTGGCACAACTGGATAACAAATTAGTCAAAGAAAGAATTACTAGCAATTATATTTTCTGATTGCCTACAAGCAGACAACAAAATTTTGTATAGTCTCATGTATGTCTATTTTCTTAGCTAGCTTCTTGGTCTGGCCCCTGAAAGCATCATAGACAAAAGAAACCGATCTATTTTTTTTTTGATAATCAGAATGTATGTTTGCCTTAAAATACCTCCCTACCCCCTCCCATTTTAGCATATGACTATAAGTTCTGTAATGTAGATGAGATTAACATGCAAAAATCAACGGTTTTAAACATACTACTATTAGAGTTATATATTAATAGAAAATAACTGCTAAATGAAGCTTTCTTGATAACATATTTTGATGGATTAAGGAGGAAATGAGTGAACTAAAATGAGAAGAGAGAAAAAGTTGATGAAAACATTGGAAAGATATGATGTCTAAAAACTAACTTCTTCTGCTTTGCAAATTGTCTTAACAACAGCCACAGCAGAAATTAGTTGTTTTGGACTCTGTCTTTGGCTTCTATGTCAATTGTGGTGTGGAAGAGGATAATACGGTAAAGATATATTTCCATTTGTCTTTCCCACCTGGATTTATTCTTTCTCTTTCTCCCCGCTCCTGCGGATAGACTGCTACGTTCACTCCTTCCAAAGGGAAGCAACAAAACAGAAACACAATGACCACAATAGCCACAACAACAATGAAACAATAATCAAAAAAAAAAAAGCTGGAATTTTATTGTGGCTTTGCTTTATAGATACTTAAGGCCATGAGGGAATGAAGAAGAGTTGAAATACAGATTAAAAATACATGAAAGGAAAATAACCACCTTTCCTACTAATCCTCTCAACCTGGGAGGGGGGGTATAGATGGAGAAGACAGAGGAATGATGGCAGTATTAAGGAATTAGCCTGGGTAGGCATTATAAGGCCAGAAGACAGACAATACCAAAGCCCTCTAGGCCTGTGCAGATACCTATGGAGAGTAAAAGTAGATTACCAGGAATTGAATAAGATGGTCCTCCCTAATGTATGGAGCTGCACCCAGTATTGCCTCCCTTCTGATGAACATAAGAGTAGGAGAGGGCCAGCCACCTACTCTTTTATTATGGATTTAGCCAATGCCTTCTTCAGCATCTCCTCTGCCTCAGGGAATCAAGGCCAATTTGCACTGGACCTTTACTTTCTTGCCCCATGGATACCACCCAGGGGAGTTACACGTTTTCCATCACATTGATGATATCATGCTAACTTCAGAGTCCAGCTTACAAACTGCAAGCCCCACCCAGCTGCCCCAACAGAGGATAGGTGGTCATCACAGACAAAGTCCAAGGTCCAGGCTCAGGGACAAATACTTGGGTGTCATCTGGTCAGGTAACAGCAAAGTCTTTCAGTCTGACATTATGGGTAAGGTTCAGGCCTACCCATGTCCTACCACACCAAAGCAGTTGCGAGTTTTCTCAGGTCTTTTATGGTATTGGCATCCTTGTATTCCCCATTTGGCCCAACTCCTTTGGCCCCCATAGCACTTAGTCAGGAAGTGGCCAATGGGATGGGTCAACAAAGGAGGATGAGGACTTTAAACAAGCTACAAGTCACAGTGAAATAGATAAAAGCCTTGAGTGTTCCAGTGCAGGGACAGCCTTGTGAATTAGGTATAGCCCAAGTCCCTGAGAGGTTTGAGTGGGGCCTGTGGCAAAGACGTAAATGGGTGAATTCAGGATTCTGGTCCCTACTGTGGAAGGGGGCTGAAGGTGGATTATGGTACCATGGAGCAAGAACTCTGAGCTGCATATTGTGCTTTGCAGCAGGTAGAGGACACTGTAGAGGGCGTCCTGGTGTTGGTGCATACCCAGTACTCCATGGCAGGTTGGCTCAAGAATGCTTTCCCCGAGACTGAGGTCTGGGAATGCTCAGACACAGACTGTGGCCAGAAGGCATGCAGGGCTGCAACGGAGCACATTGACTGGTAGCCTCTTGAATGCAAAGCTCCATGGGATGCTTGACACTGTCACCTATGTGACAACTGAAGGACAGTCTTTTATGGAGGCCACTAGACCTCTGTGGATTCCTTCCTTCATATAAGAGGGACTAGGTCCAATTCCTGACTCACCTTTGCCCTACCCTGGGACTCAAAGTAACCTACTATTGCCCTTGCCACAGGAGCGACCCACCACAGAGCCCATCATTACATGGTCCTGGAAGTGTCAAACCAGCCATGGTTTGTTTTTTCTGCTCCATAGGGAAAAGGCCTAGAACAGGACATACAGGTCACAGTTGTTTTGCACCCTACTTCCCCTCGTACTTCTAAGATGGTGGGTCCTGGTCCTCTCTTGTGCAGGGGGATGATCATTCTCTTGTTCTAGAACAATCATCCTCTTATTGTGGAACACTTTGGTGCCCCTGGTGTCTTACTCTGGCCTCCTGTAGTGCAGAGGGGGTCTAATCCATTTGGTTTCATAAACCAGTACAAGTCCTATGCCAGGGGTGGTGCTCTCAGAATGACACAACTTCCTATATCTTGACTGCTCCTGAGTGCCCTTTCTTATACCCACTAAACATCTCACCTTCCCCCCATAGACGGTGTACAGCAAACCTCTTTACCAACTGGGCACAGATGGTGGCCTTTCTCTAGAACAAAGTAGACTGTTGGGCCTGCAGAGAGCTTCCCCTCTCCTCCACCACAGGCCTGCCATGGCACATCCAGGATGAACTTCCAAGCGTTTGGAAGAGCTTTATGATTATCACTGTATTTGTTGTTGTAGTTTATATTGTTGCTGGCATTTACTCCTAGGCTCCTTTGCATACCTGGCCCCAGGGAAATCACGGACCACTGGCGTGATAAGAATGTGAGGGCCATTCAAGGGTATGCTGGAGTGGAGGGTAGGGTAAACAAACCTGAGAGCAAAAAGCTAAACATACCCTTAGGATGGCCCTGTATGGCAGACACACCGGAATGTGTGGAGTGGTCAACCCGGAGATTCATTCCTTGTATATGAGGAACAACTTAGCCCCTGTCTCATCCATTGGAACACAGGCCACCCAGAGGATTGAAGCCCTGAGTTTTGGGTTGGATGAAGGTTGCCAGGTGAGATCGTCAAAGGGAGGGTGTCAAGTAAAAATGCTATATAAACTGCAGGTTGTTGCCATTTTCCTGCCCAGCCCACCACTGTGGCCACTGGGCCCTGTGGTTATCTTGTCCAGCCCATCTCCACTGGATGGTATGTAAGGCGGATATCTCGTTCAGCCTGCTGCCACGATACCATTTCTGTACGTAAGGCGGTTCTCCTGTTCAGCCTGCTGCCATTGGACTGTCTACCCTGTATGTAACCCCCTAAAAAAAAAACCCATGACTCGTTTGCTGACTCTGCATCTCTTCTTCCACCTCTTGAACCTGGTACCTTCCCTATTGTGGTCAATAGGGATTCAGCACAACACCTGTCCCTAAGTACTTGGAATTACCTGAGTCTCCTAGAATTTAAACCCAGCCTCAGAAAAAGAAGCAGGAAGCCCAAATTAATTTAGGACAATTTTCTGCTACAATGGCAAAATGAGAGCTCAAAGTAAAATTAATTCGTGTCACAGAAAAAGAAAGAATGCTTCTCCCACAAGTTCTTCTACACTTACTGAGCTTCATACCTGCTATGAACACACACATGCAGCAAACACTCTGCAGTAAGAAAAGGCATCACGTTATTTGTCAGTGTGATAACATTTAGGCAAAGTTTGAAAGATGAATAAGAATATGTCAGGTGAATGATAGATGAGGTGCATTCAGGGAAACGAAGAGTATATGCAAAGATATGGAAGCATGAAAAATAACTCTGTGCTTGGGTAGGATCAAGAGATAGTTCACAGATGACTGGCACCTAAGAATTAGTAAACAGCGTCACGATATTGGAAAAAGCAGATCTAGCTAGAACATAAAAGTCTTTGCTAAGAAATTTTGGTTTTGTTCTATAGTTGAAAAAATTTATCAAAATATTTTAAACATAAGAATGGCATGAACAAATTCAAACTTCATGAAGATAGTTTAGGCAGTGTATAGGATTAGTTGAAACATGGTGACAATAGAAGCAGACAGACCCTTTAGGAAGCTAGTGAGAAACTATTAGGGCCTAAACCATGGGGTTGGAGACAGAAGACGAATTGAGGTTTACTTGACACGTAGAATTGATGGGATTTGGCCAGTTAGATATTAGCTATGAGGGAGAGGTTGATGATAGTTTCCAGTTTCTGTATGGAATGTTAGTATCATTAATCAAGCAAGATAAGTACTATGGGGAGGAGATATGAAGAGATGACCGGTTGACTATTAGAAAGAGGTACTTGAATCTCTGGAGAGATTTCTGCACTAAAAGTAGATTAGGAAAATTCCATAACCTCAAACTCATAATGATGGTTTGGGAAATTTATATAGACTTCCATATGTTCAGTCTCTCCCATGAATTGTCTCCTTCTCTGTCATCTTCCGCCTTCAACCTTGAATCAAGCAGCAAAATCTGATGTCATCAATGCTGCTCAAATTTGACATCATTTGTGACTCTGACTTTATATTTGGTCCCAGGTTGCCTTTTATTGCACTAGCCTTCTATTGATCTAATTTTGGAATCTTGAACTTAATTCCTTTGACTCTTGCCTCAGAATGATTTGAAATGACCCCTTATCCTTCTTTAGAGTTGGAAATAGGTCATGAACTATACCAGCAAAACAGGAAAATAATGGAGTAAGAGGCCATGTATTTCCATACACTGTAGACAGAAAGTCACTTTGCCAATAGACCAAGCTGCCATACATGTACCAACTGAGCAGGTGGCAGCTATGCAGGAGCTACGTAAGAGTTATCGATTAATGCCCAAGTGTGGTGGCTCACGCCTGTAATCCCAGCACTTTGGGAGGCCGAGGCAGGCAGATCACCTGAGGTCGGGAGTTCGAGAGCAGCCTGACCAACATGGAGAAACCCCGTCTCTACTAAAAATACAAAATTAGCCGGGTGTGGTGGTACATGCCTGTAATCCCAGCTACTTGGGAGGCTGAGGCAGGAGAACCGCTTGAACCCGGGAGGCGGAGGTTGCAATGAGCCGAGATCACGCCATTGCACTGTAGTCTGGGCAACGAGACCAAAACAACAACAGAAAAAAAAAACACACACACACAAACAAGAGTTACTGATTAACTCTCAGATATGCCCTTTGCTCCAATTCTGAACATAATGTATAATACATATGCAGTGATTTCTTCATTCCAGACTCATATTTATGTTTTACATATATTAGTTAATTTAGTCCTTGCCTCAACCCTATGAAATAATTACCATTATTATTCCTATTCTGATGAAGAAAATGAAACAGAAAAATTAAATTGATCAATATCACAGAGAGATGTGGGTTCAAACCCAAACAATCTAGCTCCAGAGATTTCTCTTTTTATAAACCCATTTGCATTAGTTTCCTATTGATGCTGTATCTGATTACTACCAACTTAAGAGCTTAAAAACAATACAAATTTATTATCACACACCTCTGGAGGTCAGAAGTCTGAAAGGGTCTTATGGGCTACAAGAAAGGGCTACATTCCTTCTGGACTCTAGAGACTAATCTCTTCCTTGCTTCTTTCCATTTCTAGAGGCAATCTGCATTCCTTGTCTTGTAGCCTTTTCATCTTTGAAGTCAGTAATGCAGCATCTTCAAATCTCTCTGACACTGCTTTCATCCTCACATCTCCTTCTCTGACTCTGATTATCCTAAATTCCTCTTATAAGGACAGGTGTGATTACACTGAGCCCATCCAGATAATTAAGGTTAATCTCTCTAGGTCAAGATCCTTAACTTAATCATGTTTGCAAAATCCCTTTTGCCACATAAGGTAACATATTCACAGGTTTCAGAGATTAACATATGGACATCTTTGGAAAACATTATTTTATTCTACTATATTATTCTTGATATTTTCATAGATAGAGGAGACATACTCTACCCAGGAATACTCAATATTAACTTTCTACTTTTTCTGCAATTATTTCCTCTAAAAATAACACACATAAAGACATAAAGACACATAAAGACACCTGCCCACTTAAACGGCGTGCTTTTTCAGTGTGCAAAAGAAGTTTGCATTAAACACTTGAAACAACATCAATGATGATACCTGGTACCCTATAATGATCAAGACCTATACTCTTTCCTAGATACTCGAGGAGTACCAGAAAATTCAGTCAGCAACCAGTGTGGAGGACCAATTTCATCATTTGTTACTCAGCATGTATTTATCACACCAGATCCCTTGCAAATATTTTGGTTTATTTATTTATTTTACCCTATTTTGCTTTCCAAAGAATTTAAAATGATGAATCACTACTGAAGCTAGGTCAGAATTAAAATTTTCCATTCTTTTAGTGCTAATATAGTCTCACTAAACATGTAGGAGTATACCAAATAAGTAATGATTTGGAGTTGTCTATCATTAATTCAAAACTCCTTATACTTGAGTCAAAGGTAAAAAGATATGTCAGGAATCAGCCCATAATCCTTTCATGTGGCATAAAGTTATAGTATCTAGCTGAGGAATTGTTGGTAAGAGACCAAGGTCATGGATTCCATGGCCTTTGTTTTATGATAGGTAGTACTTAGATGCCATTTGCTTTCATAAGTTCCTCACAGTCTTGTTGCATTCCCAGATGAAACACAGCATAGAATTATACATTTAAATCAAGTAGGAAAATCTCAAATGTTCTAGTAATCATTGTTTTAAATATTGCCCTTACTTGGAAATATTTACAGAAGATTGAAGTTCTAGATATTTTCATCTTTTTCATTTAAATAGGGTGAAATGAATCTACATGGAACCATTATTTTGGTTGGATACCGTCTTGGGTTATGCTTCTCTTTGAATGGGTTCAGATCAGAGCTTTATGTTTATCAGCCTATAGAATTTTCACTTTATATGTACATATTACCTTCAGCCCCCAGAACCAAGTGAAAAGAGTCTCTTTTTGCTCTTAGTACTGTTAGAAAAATATAGGGGGTTTTGGACATGAACGTATCTCATTCATGTCCATTAATCTGGCAAATTGGTACAATTCCATGTTATTTTTAACTCCCCTTCCTAGAATCTACTTATCTATTTTGAAACATTTAGACATTTTTTTCTTTCTTCATGGATTGACAATTCTTGTACATATTCACTTGCTAAATACTTGGGAAAACAAAATGTCAAATTTGAATCTTTTGTACTGCTTGGGTACAGCTGGTTTTCTACATTCATGGAGAAAACAGGCAGGTAGTGCTTGTTAACTAAAAGAAGGCTAAATTCTTTGACTTTCATTTTATATAAAACAATTGGGAAATAGGCAAAACATGTTATCTATTTTTTCTCCAAACTGCTTAGATTTAAACATATGTCCTAAATCCAGGTTTAAAAAACTTTTTTTTTTTTTTTTTTGGAGACGGAGTCTCGCTCTGTCGGCCAGGTTGGAGTGCAGTGGCGCGATCTCGGCTCACTGCAAGCTCCACCTCCCGGGTTCACGACATTCTCCTGCCTCAGCCTCCTGAGTAGCTGTGACTACAGGCGCCTGCCACTGCGCCCGGCTAATTTTTTGTATTTTTTTTTTTTTTTTTTTTTTTTTAGTAGAGATGGGATTTCACCGTGGTCTCCATCTCCTGACCTTGTGATCCGCCCGCCTCGGCCTCCCAAAGTGCTGGGATTACAGGTAAAAAACATTTTTTACGTTACTTTGGAGAACAAGAATGTACTAGGTCAATACAAGACTGTATTGACTATATGAAGTGTGGATTTAGAGATTAAGGCAAGTCGTTGGATATTAAGATTGGCAGAGATGATTCTCTTATTTCTTGCTCTACTTCCAGGAGGTACAAAATCTAGTACTGAGAATACAACATGCTTGTTTTAGCTGATGGAGTGGCCTGAGGGTTCCTGGCCTATTATAAACTTCCTCACACAACGTTCCCAAATTCAGATGTTTGAGCAGGAAAGATTGCGAGCATTGCAAATTAGTGCACATATGAGCAGACTCTCATTAAATACTTGTTGACTGAGTTGCTAGCTGGAGGAAGAACTGACATTCGAAATATGGTCTGAGAAAAGACTTGGGGAAACTTGTTAAGGAAGAAAAGCAGGGAGCAGTTGGAAAGTATGTTTCTTAGAGCAGAATAAAGGTTCAGACTGATCCTGGATTTGTGGTCTAAGTGGGAGGAAGAGCAAAAAGGAGGTTTTTTTAAAGGTTTTTTTAAAAGAAGAATTTCTCCTTGCAAAATTGGGTCACAACTGGCACTAGAAGAAAATAACTAGACTTGAGCCACAAGATAATTGGATTTTTACAAATTTGAAAGTAGTTGAGTTGTAACCTGGAGCAAACTGGTTCACCAGCATTGTGTCTAGCTCCTACTTTTTACGATGCCACAGGCTGGTATATTTCTCGGGAAGAACACCCCAAGCCCCTCAGAGTGGTTGTCTCTCTCAGAATAGGCAGCTGGCACTGAAAATCTCTGGGCATCAAATTCTTCATCAAAATGAAAAGGATGAAATTGATAAGATCTAAAGTTATTCACAAATTGTTTGATGTAAAAATGAATAAATTATCAATGAATCCTGAAATTCTGCTTAATCAATTAGCCAGGTAATATGCGTTCTTTCATTCAGTCATTCGTTCTTCAAATATTCATTAAGTGCCTACTATGTGCCAGATATTTTGGCAGCAGTGAAAATATATTTATGGGTCATAAACAAAAGCCTCCTTTCATTTATTATAAAAATAAAAGTCTTTATTATATTAATATGTTTTGGTAGGGCCTCTGAGAAGAACTTTGATTCTTCCTTCTGCTTCAGATAGCCAGACTCCAGACACCATCCTCATCCTGAAGACCTTCTTTAATGCGTTGGAGCCAGGTAACCAAGAACAATAAATGAAGAAATAACTTAGAAGGGTGGATCTGTTAAAAACATTTATATGCTTTTCCCTAAAGGAATCTTGGACTAGAATAACCTGAGATCCTTCATTCTTCTTACCTATAAGTCTCCAGTATGTTGCTGGGGAGTTTTGCTAGTTTACTTACAGAAAAGAAATATGTTTCTTCAATTGACTTGTAAACGTCTTTTTATAGTACTAGCCAAGTTAGCTGGTGCAAAAAGTTCTGAAAACTTGTAATTAGAGTTTGCTCCATTGAACAGTGAAACAAAGATACCCAGGTATGACCACACTGGCAAATACTACTGGAATAGCATAAAATGATAAAATTCAAGCATACAAATAAATGTGGATCATTTGTAAATATATGTGTGGTGACAAAAAATGCATACGTTGTCTGGTTTCTTTGCCATTTTTCTTCTCAAGATTTGTAAGCAGTTTTACTAATCATTTTGGGCTTGGGCATGGGGGAGCATAGTGTAGCTACAGGTTTTTGGATTTGTCTTGCATCACAAAGAGTTGCCTTTGCTCTGCTATCCTCATTTAGCATGAACCAGGAGGGAATTTCAAAGTTCTGCTCATTACTTTTTTGGTTCATCACAGTACTTCATAGGGAATAGCAAAATTCCTGAGCCAAGCAACTCAGTCTACAGAAGAGGTCAACTTCAGGAGGGGTGTGTTATTCAGTGTTTAAGTATTTATAGTCCACAAGTGAAATGGCAACACCATGAGGTAAACAGCATGTGTGGCTATGTGCTGATGCTTTTTCCATAGGGTGATCTTGTCAAACTCTCCTCTAGTCTCTAGAAGGATGCTTATAAGAGGAGAGAGAAAGAAACAGAGAGAGAGAGAGAGAGAGGGAGAGACAGAGACAGAGAGACAGAGAGAGTGAGTGTGGGTCACATGAAGAAAATAAATCTGTAGATTATGTGTCTAAAAGCATCATACACAGAATATATTATCAATACTTACATTTTCATTTAAATCAATTAAATAGACATCTCTAAAGTAACGTAAATCCTGAAAGTAAAGATGATAACAATCTTTGTGGACTGACAGAATACAGAAAATAATGAGTGGCTTTTCTTGAAAGTTCTATAAGGGTTTTCTTTACAATAGTCCATGATCTTAGGCCTTAGCAATATGGTTTATCAAAAATATAAAAATTGATCTATCTGTCTGTCTGTCTATCTATCTATCTATCTATAGAGAGAGAGAGAGTGAGAGATTGGGTCTCACTCTGTCATACAGGCTGGAGTGCAGTGACATGATCACAGCTCACTGAAGTCTCAACTGCCTGGGTTCAAGTGATCCTCCCACCTCAGCCTCCTGAGTAGCTGAAAGCACAGGGGCACACCACCACACCTGGCTAATTTTTTATTATTATTTGTAGAGACACAGTCTCACTATGTTTTCCAGGCTGGAAATATTTTTTATAAAAGTGCCAAACTATAAAATCTTGGGAGAATTTAAGAGTAAAAGTAAATATTGTATCATGACAGTCATAATTATAACTATCACTTGTAGAGCTTATCCAATATTTTAAATATTATAAAAAGTTTTATTCAAGCATTGATACATCATTAACTCCTTTGATTCAAATGATTATACAATCATTGACTCAACACGTATCATACAAGGGTTCCTCCGTATGAGATATGGTGAATACTGGGACTAGGGAAGGAGCCAAGCAACACACATTTATAGAACTTATAGTTCTGGAATTAAATGGCACATCCCATTGATCTCTAATAACAAATGCATGAGGCAGATAATTATCAGTACTGATATTTGTAAAAATGGAACCTAAGGTTTCCAGAGAGTAAGTAATTCTCCAAGGATACTTGACTGGTTGGCTGAACCTATGGAGTTTGAAGTCAGTTTGTTAGGTCAAAGAGCTGTCTTTATGATCTGTGCCTCCTTAAACCTTAGTACACAAAGAAGCAGTGCGATTCAGATTCTAGAATAAAAATAGAAGTGCTGTGTTAATGGTTAGCCTAAAGAAAAGTGAAGATCTGAAATGTCTTGGATAAATATTGACAGTCAAAGCATAATAGCAATTTCATTCTTGGCTATCAGAGTCTAGGTTAGAAAAAGGAAAAGTTTTACAACCAGTGGAAAGCAAGATTTAATTCATTGATAACCCCAAAAAAGATCTCCCCAGATGAATTTATTTTCAAATAAAATGTAAAATAAATTAAAAATCAATTTGTCATTATAAAAATTGCTGAATAAAATAGAAAAAATATAAGCATTCTTTTGGTTGTTCAGTCTATTCAATGATTAGCCTCTAAAATTAGAAATATATGGAAGCCTAAGTTTTAAAAAAATTTACTTGGATTTTCTGACATTGGTACAACTTTTTGGTGATAGTTTTGAAGTTAGGGGAAATATATTTTTAAAATTCCTTTTATATTTAAAACATTACCATATAACACATGAAATCATGAAAATGTAGTCAAAAAGGGAAAACTTAGCCATATTTCTTGGAAAGAGGAATGACTTGGAAAATAATATACACAAACACTGCATTTTTAGTAAAATTGAGTCCATGTGCAACATTGTTTTCCAAAAGATAGAAACTAAACCATCTTTTCTGGATATAAATTAAAAGCAGAAGAGGAAAATATTCTCTATACCCCATTTCTCTTTATGGTTTATATAAAACTAATTTTGAAGTCTTTTTATTTTATTATAATTGCCTGTCATTAAATAGAAGCATACTTGTGCTTCAAGTGTTGTTGATTGTTTTAAAAATAACCCTTCTACAGGGCATATTAATGTAATCGATTTTTGGAAACCATACTTTTATGGCCTGATATTAGCCTTGTAATGGAAGTGTGTTTTCTCTTAAATAAAATAGAATCATGAAATGTAAGTGTTGAACTTAGTGAAGGCTGTGCTACACTGTGTTAACAAATAACCCCCAAATCGGCCGGGAGCGGGGGCTCACGCCTGTAATCCCAGCACTTTGGGAGGCCGAGGCGGGCGGATCACAAGGTCAGGAGATCGAGACCATCCTCGCTAACACGGTGAAACCCTGTCTCTACTAAAAATACAAAAAATTAGCCGGGCGTGGTGGCGGGCGCCTGTAGTCCCAGCTACTCGGGAGGCTGAGGCAGGAGAATGGCGTGAACCCGGGAGGTGGAGCTTGCAGTGAGGCGAGGTCGCGCCACTGCACTCCAGCCTGGGCGACAAAGCGAGACTCCGTCTCAATAAAACAACAAAAAACGAAACAAAAGAAAACAAAACAAAAATAACCCCCAAATCTGAAAAACAACAAACATTTTCACTCACGCTATTTATCCGACACAGTCCATTGTGGTGCGTTGCTCCATCTCAATCCCTTCTTCCGGTCACCACAAGGGAGGGAGAAAGAAGGAAAGAGTGAACATTGCAATGTCTTACAAGGGGCATATGTCACTTATACTAAAGTCACATGATCATGCCATACTTCAGACTAACATGGGCCTGGTAGGTGGAGCACCAGGATATTTATGAACAAGGCTAATGGCTACCGTAGAAGAAATTGTTGAGATCCTCTTGTTCATACTCATTTTATAGATGTGAAAACTTACTCCCAGCAAAAGGAAAAAGTTTGCTTAAATCATACATCAAATTAACTTAAAATAGTGGTCTTAACCAAGAGTTTCCTTGGTTCATTTGGAAGGTTTGTATTAAATAGCTTTTATATACCAGCTCTGGCTTAGGATCTTGAAATTAAGAAAGAAGAGCCTCAGAGAGACTGGAGGGTATGGACATGCTATCAAGGGAAAACAAGATGAGATGAGACTACAGGAAGAAGTAGAACCTGTATATAGTTATTGAAGCAATTTTCACAGAAGAGGTGACCTCAGAGTGACATTTTGAAGTAAAAATTAAGGTTCAGAAAAAAGAAAAACACAGGAGTGAAATAGAATGTTTAGGTAGCAGAAGTGAATCAGAAAACAAGCATAAAATAGCAGTGTATTTTCATTGAGCCACACATAGTGTAGTACGGATGACTCCCAAGGTATAAATGAGACTCTGGTCAGCTAGAAGGAAGAAGGACTCTAATATGAGGGAAATACTAGGAGCTTGAATGCATTTGGTGATCTACTGGTAGGGAGGGTCCTTCTGACTTCCATTCCAACACTATTTTAAAACTTCATGTTACTACCAATAAAGTATGTAAGTTAATGACCTGATTTTTCCTAAGGAAGAAGGCTATTTCAGGGGCTATATTCTGGGGTCATTTGCATCTGTTTGATACAAGAGAGGTGGGGTTGAATCCATCTTCTGTAACTAGATTTTTTTGGTGTTTCACAAGCTGGAAGAGTTAATCAGTGATTCAAAAGGTCAACTGGCATAGGTCCAGATTCACAGTCCCCAAACAGGATTCAACAGAATGGGAATGGACACCCCTGAGATTATGCTACAGGCTTTGCAGGCTCTTCTGCATTCCAGTACCAGAGAAAAGCCATGCGTCCACTTCTTATGTATTTAGGAGGTTTCCCTCTTCCAATTGCATGCTCCTTGCTTGATGAAAAAAGGGCTTGATTTTTCCTCAGCAGGGCCTGAACCCAGCTTGATTAAAGAACTCAGTGGCTCATTTAAAGGAAGCTCTCTTCATTTTGCCTTGTATTTCATCCAAACCACATGCTGGGAGGGTATCATTGATTTTCTTGAGAAACAGGGGAAATATGTATGCAGAAAAATGCTAATGTCAGAGAAGCAGAAAAACTGGCTCAAAATATAGTTATCATGAAACTGACTCTCTATAGACTTTAATATTTGGAAAAGTACCACTCATGTTTTTTTTTTTTTTTTCCGACCTGAAACTTTCTTTATGGTAGGCAATTTTCTGCATTTTATAATACACATTAACAAACATGGTTGAAACTTTAAAACAACAGAACAAAACAAAACCCAAAAGAAACATTTCTGCAGCAGTCCAAACACCCTAGACTACAACAAACTTTAACTCTGACCACATGCAAAGCATGTTGCCTAGAAACCCAGAGCAAAGATGTTGCCCAGCAACTTTAGATCCCACCAGCTGCCCTGGTGACGAAACTGATGTTGGTCACCACAACATTAAAAATATGTATAAATTGAAGTCATCTGAAGAGGATAATAAAAGTAACATAAGCAGGTCTAAACAATTTAGCTTTTGTTTAATGTTTAAGAAATGGTATAAAATCTGAAGCCCTGACTTCAGTGTTTGGATGTAAGATCAAATTCATACTGCTTATGAGGGTTACAATCTCTGTTATGGCTTTCTGCCTCCCTGGTCAGAAACTATTGACTCTTGACACTAATTTTAAATAGTCAAGTTGGGGGTATGTTTAAGTATTTTTTTTATTAGTCTCAAAAATAGTCTCACAATCCTATATGGTACTACATGTGGTTATAAACTTCCCTGTGACTTCACATTAGGAATAACCGTAACCCAGATGTAATAACCAAAGGTTATGGATTGTATGGAGTGAAGCCATCTCTTAGCCAGATTATCACTGTAGTTCCATCTGTTTCATGGTGGTCTGTCCAGTCCTCAGGTCACAGATTACGTTAATAGCAGAGAAAACTTTCTAAAACGCAAATATGATCTTGTCACTTAGCTAGCTGGAAATTGCTGTTGGTTCACCAATTAAAACACAATAAAATCTAAACTCTTTAATATAGCATACAAAATGCTGTTATTGCTTCCCAATATTCCATCCTATTTTCACTGCCTTGTGAACATGCAATGTCCTTTCAAATTTCCATGTATTTTTTCAAGCTGTTTTATAGCCCTGGAATGTTTCTCCCCCTCCTCTCAGACTGATGAACACCTACTCACACTAAAACCCAAGGAAAATATGATTCCATTGAGGAAAGGCTTCCTGATTTTCCCCAGAGAAACGTAATATTACCACAAACACAAAGCCTTGGATATGGCCCAGTGGAGGAGCTTAATAACATGTGTTAGCTTATGAGTGAGATTCCTTTTCCATCACATATTTGACTTTCAGATATAGGTAATCTTCTAGTCATAATTATAACTTCATTACATGCGGTACAGTCCGGAAGTAGTTGTAGTTAAAGAAAGTTAACCTGGCATCACTGTATCAAATAATATCTTCTCATTGACTTACATTTAAATTTTGAAACTATGATTCTTCCAAAGGAGTTATGACCTACCCCCAAATTGATAAAGATAGTACAATTTTGTTATATAAATTCTTTTCTTCAAGGAGCTTTTTGGCTTAATCCAGGTATAACATCGATTACTCCCATTGTCTTTAATTATTTATATGTTTGAATTAAATAAACACATATTAGAAATCAATTTTTATTTATAAAGAATTCAGACCATGTGATTATCTGGTCATTCTTATTTTATTCGACGTGAGAATTCTGGGTTTTTATATTTCATTGATTTACCCTCATTTCTGCATCCAGTCCATCAGACACTCTCATAGAACCAACTAATTTCTTCATAGAGTTACACAGATAAAATGTTAATCATTTATTTGATATGGACTTTTTTCCTTTGAAATGCACAATACATAAATACAGTGACCTGGATATGACATCTTGCTCAACAATCTCTCCTTAGTGATTTATCCAAAGTATGAAGCACATGAGTCTCTTAACAAATGTTTATTGAAGGAATGAAAACAAGAATTGGATACCTAACACACATATTCAATTTTCCTTTCTTGAAAATATTAAGCACAGAGTTTTAGCATAAAGGACTTTGAGAATATTTACTTTAATTTACACAGTATAACTTGGTAATAATGCCACCCTCTCAAACATTATTAATTGATTTTTCCAAAAAGAAGAGTTTCAAGTACTTATTATTTATTAAGAATAGCATTTATGATAAAGACTGGACCAAATGGAGATGATAATACCATCATCATAAGTAGCAATTTCAGCAGTTAGTGGGCCTGTAATGAATTTTGCAGATGATGAATATTTTAAAAGTTTCTTTTGTGGCAAACTATCTGCTACTAAAAGCACTGGGAGTTTTTGTTTGTTTGTTTGTTTGTTTGTTTGTTTTTTGGTGTGTGTGTGTGTGTTTTTCAGACATGAAACTTTACTAAATGAATGGGCAAATTTGGACTTTTACAATCTCTATTGATGTAGGAGATAAATGGATGGTTAAGCATGAGGAAAAGTTAACACCTAAATCTACTAGTTACAAATACTACTAGGAAGAAAAGATTAGGTTTTTGTTTAAGAAGAGAGTGGTGTGTTAAAGACAATGAGGTCTAAAAGCAGAGGGCAGAGGGGACTGAGTGTGAAAGAGAGTCCAAGGGGTGGTTGGAAGGTTGGAAAGAGAAAGAAAGAGTGAGAGAGAGAAAGGAAGAGACAGAGAGACAAAAAGAAAGAGAGAGAGAGATCAAGACACGTTTGATCTGAGTAATTATATTCCAAACATGATGAATTGTTTTATGAAAGTATTAATGGATGGGAAATTTTTCATCAAGCTGAAAAAAAAGAAAATATGCTAGAGGTGGTGCAGGGGACATTCAATATGAAAGAAAGAACATCAATATATTTGTAATTAGAGAGTGCTAAGATTCTACATACTTTGAAAAAACCAACGGTAATGCTTTTAGCAGAATAAGAGATATTTGCTCGGATTTTGTCTTCTTTTTTTTTAAATTATTATACTTTAAGTTTTAGGGTACATGTCCACAACGTGCAGGTTTATTACATATGTATACATGTGCCATGTTGGTGTGCTGCATCCATTAACTCATAATTTAACATTAGGTATATCTCCTAATGCTATCCCTCCCCCCCTGCCCCCACCCCAAAACAGGCCCCAGTGTGGGATGTTCCCCTTCCTGTGTCCATGTGTTCTCATTGTTCAATTCCCACCTATGAGTGAGAACATGCGGTGTTAGGTTTTTTTGTCCTTGCGATAGTTTCCTGAGAATGATGGTTTCCAGCTTCATCCATGTTCCTACAAAGGACATGAACTCATCCTTTTTATGGCTGCATAGTATTCCATGGTGTATATATGCCACATTTTCTTAATCCAGTCTATCATTGTTGGACATTTGGCTTGGTTCCAAGTCTTTGCTTTTGTGAATAGTGGTGCAATAAACATACGTGTGCATGTGTCTTTATAGCAGCATGATTTATAATCCTTTGGGTATATACCCAGTAATGGGATGGCTGGGTCAAATGGCATTTCTAGTTCTGGATCCCTGAGGAATCACCACACTGACTTCCACAATGGTGGAACTAGTTTACAGTCCCACCAACAGTGTAAAAGTGTTCCTATTTCTCCACATCCTCTCCAGCACCTGTTGTTTCCTGACTTTTTAATGATTGCCATTCTAACTGGTGTGAGATGGTATCTCATTGTGATTTTGATTTGCATTTCTCTGATGGCCAGTGATGATGAGCATTTTTCATGTGACTTTTGGCTGCATAAATGTCTTCATTTGAGAAGTGTCTGTTCATATCCTTTGCCCACTTGTTGATGGGGTTGTTGGTTTTTTTCTTGTAAATTTGTTGGAGTTCATTGTAGATTCTGGATATTAGCCCTTTGTCAGATGAGTAGATTGCAAAAATTTTCTCCCATTCTGTAGGTTGCCTGTTCACTCTGATGGTAGTTTCTTCTGCTGTGCAGAAGCTCTTTAGTTTTATTAGATCCCATTTGTCAATTTTGGCTTTTGTTGCCATTGCTTTTGGTGTTTTAGACATGAAGTCCTTGCCCATGCCTATGTCCTGAATGGTATTGCCTAGGTTTTCTTCTAGGGTTTTTATGGTTTTAGGTCTAACATTTAAGTCTTTAATCCATCTTGAATTAATTTTCATATAAGGTGTAAGGAAGGGATCCAGTTTCAGCTTTCTACATATGGCTAGCCAGTTTTCCCAGCACCATTTATTAAATAGGGAATCCTTTCCCCATTTCTTGTTTTTGTCAGGTTTGTCAAAGATCAGATGGTTGTAGATATCTGGAATTATTTCTGAGGGCTCTGTTCTGTTCCATTGGTCTATATCTCTGTTTTGGTACCAGTACCATGCTGTTTTGGTTACTCTAGCCTTGTAGTATAGTTTGAAGTCAGGTAGCGTGATACCTCCAGCTTTGTTCTTTTGGCTTAGGATTGACTTGGCAATGTGGGCTCTTTTTTGGTTCCATATGAACTTTAAAGTATTTTTTTTCAATTCTGTGAAGAAAGTCATTGGTAGCTTGATGGGGATGGCATTGAATCTATAAATTACCTTGGGCAGTATGCCCATTTTCACAATATTGATTCTTCCTACCCCTGAGCATGGAATGTTCTTCCATTTGTTTGTATCCTCTTTTATTTCATTGAACAGTGGTTTGTAGTTCTCCTTGAAGAGGTCCCTCACATCCCTTGTAAGTTGGATTCCTAGGTATTTTATTCTCTTTGAAACAATTGTGAATGGGAGTTCACCCATGATTTGGCTGTTTGTCTGCTATTGGTGTATAAGAATGCTTGTGATTTTTGCACATTGATTTTGTATGCTTAGACTTTGCTGAAGTTGCTTATCAGCTTAAGGAGATTTTGGGCTGAGATGATGGGGTTTTCTAGATATACAATTATGTCATCTGCAAACAGGGACAATTTGACTTCCTCTTTTCCTAATTGAATACCATTTATTTCCTTCTCCTGCCTGATTGCCCTGGCCAGAACTTCCAACACTATGTTGAACAGGCGTGGTGAGAGAGGGCATCCCTGTCTTGGGCCAGTTTTCAAAGGGAATGCTTCCAGTTTTTGCCCATTCAGAACGATATTGGCTGTGGGTTTGTCATAGATAGCTCTTATTATTTTGAGATACGTCCCATCAATACCTAATTTATCGAGAGTTTTTAGCATGAAGGGCTGTTGAATTTTGTCAAAGCCCTTTTTTGCATCTATGGAGATAATCATGTGGTTTTTTTCATTGGTTCTGTTTATATGCTGGATTACATTCATTGATTTGCTTATGTTAAACCAGCCTTGCAGCCCAGGGATGAAGCCCACTTGATCATGGTGGATAAGCTTTTTGATGGTGCTGCTGCATTCGGTTTGCCAGTATTTTATTGAGGATTTTTGCATCGATGTTCATCAGGGATATCGGTCTAAAATTCTCTTTTTTGGTTGTGTCTCTGCCAGGCTTTGGTATCAGGATGATGCTGGCCTCACAAAATGAGTTAGGGAGGATTCCCTCTTTTTCTATTGATTGGAATAGTGTCAGAAGGAATGGTACCAGCTCCTCCTTGTTCCTCTGGTAGAATTCGGCTATGAATCCATCTGGTCCTGGACTTTATTTGGTTGGTAAGCTATTAAGTATTGCCTCTATTTCAGAGCCTGTTATTGGTCTATTCAGAGATTCAAGTTCTTCCTGGTTTAGTCTTGGGAGGGTGTATGTGTCGAGGAATTGATCCATTTCTTCTAGATTTTCTAGTTTATTTGCGTAGAGGTGTTCATAGTATTCTCTGATGGTAGTTTGTATGTCTGTGGGATCGGTGGTGATATCATTTTTTATTGTGTCTATTAGATTCTTCTCTTTTTTCTTCTTTATTAGTCTTGCTAGCGGTCTATCAATTTTGTTGATCTTTTCAAAAAATCACCTCCTGAATTCATTGATTTTTTGAAGGGTTTTTTGTGTCTCTATTTCCTTCAGTTATGCTCTGATCCTAGTTATTTCTTGCCTTCTGCTAGAATGTGTTTGCTCTTGCTTCTCTAGTTCTTTTAATTGTGATGTTAGGGTGTCAATTTTAGATCTTTCCTGCTTTCTCTTGTTGGCATTTAGTGCTATAAATTTCCCTCTACACACTGCTTTGAATGTGTCCCAGAGATTCTAGTATGTTGTGTCTTTGTTCTCATTGGTTTCAAAGAACATCTTTATTTCTGCCTTCATTTTGTTATGTACCCAGTAGTCATTCAGGAGCAGGTTGTTAAGTTTCCATGTAGTTGAGCAGTTTTGAGTGAGTTTCTTAATCCTGAGTTCTAGTTTGATTGCACTGTGGTCTGAGAGATGGTTTGTTATAATTTCTCTTCTTTTACATTTGCTGAAGAGTGCTTTACTTGCAACTATGTGGTCAATTTTGGAGTAAGTGTGGTGTGGTGCTCAGAAGAATGTATATTCTGTTGATTTGGGGTAGAGAGTTCTGTAGATGTCTATTAGTCAGAGCTGAGTTCAATTCCTGGATATCCTTGTTAGCCTTCTGTCTCGTGGATCTGTCTAATGTTGTCGTGGGGTATTAAAGTCTCCCATTATTATTGTGTAGGAGACTAAGTCTCTTTGTAGGTCTCTAAGGACTTGCTTTATGAATCTGGGTGCTCCTGTATTGGGTGCATATATATTTAGGATAGTTAGCTCTTCTTGTTGAATTGATTGCTTTACCACTATGTAATGGCCTTCTTTGTCTCTTTTGATCTTTGTTGGTTTAAAGTCTGTTTTATCGGAGACTAGGATGAAAAACCCCTGCCTTTTTTATTTTCCATTTGCTTGGTAGATCTTCCCCCATCCCTTTATTTTGAGCCTATGGGTGTCTCTGCATGTGAGATGGGTTTCCTGAATACAGTACACTGATGGGTCTTGACTCTTTATCCAATTTGCCAGTCTGTGTCTTTTAATTGGAGAATTTAGCCCATTTACATTTAAGGTAAATATTGTTATGTGTGAATCTGATCCTGTCATTATGATGTTAGCTGGTTATTTTGCTCATTAGTTGATGCAGTTTCTTCCTAGCCTCGCTGGTCTTTACAATTTGGCATGTTTTTGCAGTGCCTGGTACCGGTTGTTCCTTTCCATGTTTAGTGCTTCCTTCAGGAGCTCTTTTAGAGCAGGCCTGGTGGTGACAAAATCTCTCAGCATTTGCTTGTTTGTAAAGTATTTCATTTCTCTTTCACTTATGAAGCTTAGTTTGGCTGGATACAAAATTCTGGGTTGAAAATTCTTTTAAGTATGTTGAATATTGGTCCCCACTCTCTTCTGGCTTGTAGAGTTTCTGCCAAGAGATCAGCTGTTAGTCTGATGGGCTTCCCTTTGTGGGTAACCCGACCTTTCTCTCTGGCTGCCCTTAACATTTTTTCCTTCATTTCAACGTTGGTGCATCTGACAGTTATGTGTCTTGGAGTTGCTTTTCTCGAGGTGTATCTCTGTGGCGTTCTCTGTATTTCCTGAATTTGAATGTTGGCCGCCTTGCTAGATTACTGGGGAAGTTCTCCTGGATAATATCCTGCAGAGTGTTTTCCAACTTGGTTCCCTTCTCCCCCTCACTTTCAGGTACACCAATCAGACGTAGATTTGGTCTTTTTACATAGTCCCATATTGCTTGGAGGCTTTGTTTGTTTCTTTTTATTCTTTTTTCTCTAAACTTCTCTTCTCGCTTCATTTCATTCATTTGATCTTCCATCACCGATACCCTTTCTTTCAGTTGGTCGAATCGGCTACTGAGGCCTGTGCATTCGTCACATATTTCTCGTGCCTTGGTTTTCAGCTCCATCAGGTCCTTTAAGGACTTCTCTGCATTGGTTATTCTAGTTAGCCATTCGTCTAATTTTTTTTTTCAATGTTTTTAACTTCTTTGCCATGGGCTCGAACTTCCTCCTTTAGCTAGGAGTAGTTTGATTGTCTGAAGCCTTCTTCTCTCAACTCATCAAAGTCATTCTCCGTCCAGCTTTGTTCCATTGCTGGCGAGGAGCTGCGTTCCTTTGGAGGGGGAGAGGTACTCTGATTTTTAGAGTTTCCAGTTTTTCTGCTCTGTTTTTTCCCCATCTTTGTGGTTTAATCTACCTGTGGTCTTTGATGATGGTGACGTAGAGATGGGTTTTTGGTGTGGATGTCCTTTCTGTTTGTTAGTTTTCCTTCTAACAGTCAGCACCCCCAGCTGCAGGTCTGTTGGAGTTTGCTGGAGGTCCACTCCAGACCCTGTTTGCCTGGGTATCAGCAGCGGAGGCTGCAGAACTGCGGATATTGGTGAGCAGCAAATGTTGCTGCCTGATCATTCCTCCGGGAGTTTCGTCTCAGAGGGGTACCCAGCCTTGTGAGGTGTCAGTCTGCCCCTACTGGGGGGTGCCTCCCAGTTAGGCTACTTGGGGGTCAGGGTCCCACTTGAGGGGGCAGTCTGTCCATTCTCAGATCTCCAGCTGCGTGCTGGGAGAACCACTACTCTCTTCAAAGACAGGGACGTTTAAGTCTGCAGAGGTTTCTGCTGCCTTTTGTTTGGCTATTCCCTGCTCCCAGAGGTGGAGTCTACAGAGGCAGGCAGGCCTCCTTGAGCTGCAGTGGGCTCCACCCAGTTCGGGCTTCCTTGCTGCTTTGTTTACCTACTCAAGCCTTGGCAATGGCGGGCGCCCCTCCCCCAGCCTCACTGCCTCCTTGCAGTTTGATCTCAGACTGCTGTGCTAGCAATGAGCAAGGCTCCGTGGGTGCAGGACCCTCTGAACCAGGCAGGGGATATGATCTCCTGGTGTGCCATTTGCTAAGACCATTGGAAAAGCACAGTATTAGGGTGGGAGTGACCTGATTTTCCAGGTGCCCTCTGTCACTCCTTTCTTTGACTAGGAAAGGGAATTCCCTGACCCCTTGTGCTTCCCGGGTGAGGTGATGCCTCGCCCTGCTTCAGCTCACGCTGGGTGCGCTGCACCCACTGTCCTGCACCCACTTGCCAACACTCCCCAGCGAGATGAGCCTGGTACCTCAGTTGGAAATGCAGAAATCACCCATCTTCTGCATCGCTCACGCTGGGAGCTGTAGACTGGAGCTGTTCCTATTCGGCCATCTTGGCTCCACCCCCTGATTCTGTCTTGTAAACCAAGGAAGCACTTTATTCAGGAAGAATGTACCTTTAGTAATTTATTCTAGTAGTTGAAGAGTCTAACATCCAAGGAATGGGTAGATGTGAACATGATCAGCAATGTGTTCTGCACTGTGTTTTTCACTGATATTATAAAATTTAATAGCTTTCGTGTGTTGCTTTTTTAAGGCTAAAAACATATTGACATTAAATGCAACTTATTAATAGGAAAATTGACAGGGGAAATTAGAGTGTAGTCCAACAGGAAAGTAAAAACTAAGGCATTTTTTTTTCACATTTACAATGGCATATTCTGCACATTTTTTCTGACATGAAATGCTAGTAATACTGATTAGTTAACATTTTAGTTAAATAAACAGCCCTAGGTTACACAGCTGATAAATAAAGCTGGGATTTGAACTCAAGTTTGTCTGACTCAAGAGCTTGCACTGTTGACTTTGTGACATTGTCACTACATAAGAAAAAGGAGGCAGCTTATCCCTGGGTGTGCTGAGTGACAAGATCTCAGGGGGGTGATGTGAAGATGGTGAGAAAAAGCAAGAGAGCTAAGTTAAGTGAACCAAGGAGAGAACATGGATGGACTCAGTGTGGAATAGAGCCATTTTATGTCTGTGTCTAAGACCTCCACTTAGTGAAAGTTACATAATGATGAAGGAGCAGAGGTTGAAGGCCCAACATTCTTGACATATGATATATCTTAAATTTTTTCTTTACCAACTTTCAAGCTGATATTTAAACTCTGCACAAGAATCACTTAATCCATTACTATGCCCAAGCCACCTTTTGCATAGAACTCAGGGATTAAGTCACCTAACAATTTAATTTAAAGAGAAGGAATTTAAAATTAATACTTATAAAAGGGGTTCAAAGTAATAACTAATTGACATAATGTTTATGTGGTTACAGTGGAAAGCACTGGGTGATCTGATAATATCGAAAGTTATCAATGGAATAAAATGGCGAGTGTAGTGCAAACCTTTATAAGTCCTCAAAGAAAATATGATTTTGGAGATGTTTTTGTCACTGGAAACATATCCATTAAATTGATCTAAGGACATGAAAACTATATCTAGATTTTTTAATGTCATAGAAAATTCTCAGTTAACTCATAGGCAACTAAACCCAACATTATAACTTACACAAATAGTGATGCTCTAACACACTTATATCAATTCAGAACCCCTATAGTTGATAAACTACCTGAAACTTCCTAAGGAGTGTCAGAAATACATTTGAAGTTTTACAAATCGGATGCTGGGTTTTACATTAGGATCTCTGGATGATTATAGTTAAAAGGTACTTGAAACAGTTGATGACAAACATCTTCCTGTTGATTTCACTGTTGCTGAGGGTATGTGCAATAGCTTAGATTGTGTTAGATGAGGTGGTATTTTATAACGATTAGTAGTGCTGGCTCTACGTTCTTCTCATCTCAAGACATAAATCAGAGTTGTCACTTGATAGTTTTGTGACTCTGAGCAAGTTCTTTAATCTGTGCCTCAGTTTTTTCATGTGCCCAAAGTAAATTTTCATAGAACCCTGGTCAATAGACAGCACTTGGTACCATGTGTGACTCACAGTCAGTGCTCAGTGAAGAACAACCATTACCATTTCAGTGAGTATCATAGTTATAGTTGCCAGATTTCACCAATAAAAATAAAAGATTCCCAGTTAAACTTGAATTTCAGAAAAACCACTCATAAATTTACTATAAGTGTGTCCTAAGCTATACAGAAAGCATACACTAAAAAATTATTCATGGCTGAGATTTTATCTGGCAACCCTAATCGCAGTGCTTGGGATGATAGTGCTCAAGAGTTTTTGCTTGAGTAGTTTTGTTTGAGTATGTAAATGACACTATGGACTAAATTTTTTAAAATAGCAAGATGTTGTTGAGTTTAAATATATAAATCTGGCTGCATCTACTAACCTTCAGTTGGTGAGTACTCTTATTCAGTAATAGCCAGAAAGCATGCGTTTATTCGACTAATAACTTAGGATGCTTGGATGTGTTTGTTGGAATAGCAGTGATGCAAACAAAAAAATTAGCAAGGAAGAGTGACAAAGACTTAAATTACAAATCAATATAAGACTGTCAATCAGTATGATAATGCATAACAAATGAAAGATAAAGACAGAAGGAAGGGCCCAGGCATCATGGACTTTTTGAGTAACAGTCAACAAATATTTATTGAGGGTGTACAGCATGCCAGATACTGTTCCATGGGTAGAGCAGGTCTATAATGCTGAAGTCCAAGCAGGTAGATAATGTAATAATCCAAAAATAAATATAAAAGTACAACAATACTACATACTCTGAAGGAGGGGTAGATAAATCATGCTATAAAGGCATGATCAAAATAAAAAGTTTGGATCTGCACAGAGAGGTCAGAGGTTTCTCTGTGGAAGTAATAAGAGAATTAAGAACTGAAGGAAAAGAAGGGGTTAACTATAGAACGACAAAGAATCACATTCTAAGGAAAGCAAATAACAAGCACTAAGATCCTGTGGTTGGAGAGAATATGGTATTCAGTAGAGCCACAAGATGGTACCTGTGGCTAGAATGCTAGAGAGAGAGTAGAACAGATAATACCTCTGTAGATTCTTCAAGATTTTTAGTATTTTTTTCCCTAAATGCCCAGTGAAATAATTTAAGTAGGGTAGAGAGAAGGGATGAAGGATATGTGTCGTTGAAAGGTCATTCTTGCAGCTTTGCAGAGAGTGGCTTGAAGGGGTCAATGGTAACTCAAGGAAATCAGTAGAAAGAATTTCTTGGAAAGAATGGAATTTAAGATATATGTGTTGGAGGATTTCAAATGATGGAAAGAAATAGGGTTCAAAAGAGACTGAAATATATGCTGCAAATCCTGAAACAAGGAGTATACCTGTACAGTTTGAAGAGTGTTAATTCAATAGAGAAATGGAAGATGCTTGCAATGGTAGAAGTGGCAGGGAAGGCAGTTCAGAAACCAACTGAAGGACCTTGTTAACAAAGGTGAGATGGTCAGATTAATCCTATAAATCATGAGTGGTTACTAATGATTTTTAGTAGAAACATAATATAAGGCAAATATTGTTTTTTAAGTTCAATCTAATGTCACAAATACATAGTCCAAGCTAGGGGATTATAGATTCAAAATTGTGAAACTAATTAAACATTTACTACAGTACAATTAGTGTGTGGAGGTAAAGGTGTGATTTACAAATTTAGTTTTGTAAAGAATGGCAGTAGAAAGAAAATCCAATGAAAATAAGAATGAAAGGAGCAAAGAAGAGGTTAGAAAACAAAAAAAAAAAACAAATCATAGATCAAGTTAAAGGGGATAAAGAAAGAAGTCCAAGGAAGTGGGCTTCAAATGATGCATGAAGTTAAGTGGAGTAGAAAGGAGTTTCCACAGTTTATCAGTTAACTTTGGCTAGGTTATGGTGACAAACTCAGAGCCTCAGTTTTACATGCTGGCAGATGTTTGTTTCTCACTCAAGTTACATGGAGGCTGTGGATTGATTGTGGCCCTGCTTCATCTATCATCTTCATTCCTAGATCCAGGATGAAAGAGCAACTTTATTAGGTACCTGTGGTTCTCTCAGTAGAGAAACATACATGAGGAAGAATCATGCATTCTTTTTTGGTTGTTTTGTTTTTGTTTTTTGATTTTAATAGACTTTATTCTTTAGAGCAACTGTAGGATCACAGCAAAATTGGGAGCAAATTACAGAGATTTCCCATATATCCTCTTCCTCTCACCTGCATAACCTCCTCTATTATCAACACCATCCACATAATCGTATGTTTCTTACAATTGATGAAAATACAATGACACATCGTATTCACCAATGTCCATAGTTTACATCAGGGTATACTTTTTGTGTTGTACATTCTATGGGTTTGGACAAATTTTTAATAGCATTTATGGATCATTATAGTATCATAAAGAGTATTTTCACTGCCCTAAAAATCCTCAGCAGTCTGTCTATTCATCCTCTGCCTCTGTATTCCCTCCAGACCCTGGCAACAACTGATCTTCTTCTGTCTCTGTATTTTTCCCTTTTTCAGAATGTCATGAAGTTGGGATCATATAGTGTGTAAGCGTTTCAGGTTGACTTCTTCCACTTAGCGCATGCGTGTAAGTTTTCTCCAAGTATTTTGATTGCTTGATAGCTCATATCTTTTTAGTGCTGATGGGATTTTCTTGTCTGAATGTATCACAGTTTATTTATTCTTTCCTACTGAAGGACATTTTGGTTGCTTCAAAGTTTTGGCAACTATAATTAAAGCTGCTGTTAACATTTATGTTTAGGTTTCTGTGTGGACATACGTTTTCAACTCCTTTCAGTAAATACCAAAGAATATGATTGCTAGATCACATGCTAAGAGTATGTTTAGTTTTATAAGAAATTCTCAACTATCTTCCAAAGTGGCTGTACCATTTTGCATTCCAATCAGCAATGAATGAGAGCTCCGGTTGCTTTACATCTTTGCCAGTATTTGATGTTGTCAGTGCTTCGGATTTCTGCCCTTCTAATAGTTGTAGTTGTGTAGTGGTTTCTCATTGTTGTTTTAATTTGCATTTCTGATGATATATGATGTGGAGTATGTTTTCATATGCTATTTGTCACCTGCTTATCTTCTTTGGTGAGGTATCTTTTAAGGTATCTTTTTGCTCATTTTTCTATTCAGGTTGTTTGTGTTTTTCATTGTTGAGTTTTAAGAGTTCTTTGTATATTTTGAATAACAGATTTTTATCGGATACTTCTGCTCTGTGAAAGATATTGTCAAGAAAATAAGGCAAGCCACAGACTGGTAAAAGATATTTGCAAAAGACACATGCTTTGTTTCTTAAAGCTTTTACTCCAAAGCTGCACAGGTATATTTATTCACATTTTATTGGCTAAAGCAAGTTACACGGAAACCCTTAATATCAAAGGAAAAATTATACAATGCTCTTGTAGGGGAATACAGTAAATAAAGTTAAATATATGTCAAATATTATGACTCAGCAATCCCTCTCTCTGTGTGTATCATATAGTGAATGGAAAAATGAATTGTGGTACATTCAAAAAATGGAATACTATTTAGTCACAGAAAGCAGCAAACTATTAGTGATACATGTAAAATCATGGATGAATAGCAAAGACATTATGCTAAGTGAAAGGCCAGACTTAAATGGTTACATAACTTATTATTCCATTTGTATTACCTTCTGAAAAAGAGGAAATTATAGATAGAAAACAGATCTGAGGTTGGTAGGAGATGGTGGTTGGGAAGGGCATTGACTATAAGTGGGAACAAGGGAATTTGGGGAGGATGATGGATATTTTCTATATCTTAAATGTGATGGTGGCAACACAACTGTATTTGTTTGTCAAAACTCATAAAACTGTACTCCAAAAGGGGCAAATTTACTGTATGCAAATTAACCTCAATATGTATTATTTTAAAATAAGAAATTATATTTACTGCCATAAGTAGTTACTTCATACTTAAAAAATTTAACTCATATTTTTAAAACAAAAAAAGACTATGTATCAACAAATTGGAAAAACTAGAAGACAATTTCTGGACATACACAACCTACAAGATTGAACCATAAAGAAATAGAAAACCTGAACAGACCAATAATAAGTAATGGGATTGAAGAAGTACTAACATGTCTCCCATCAGAGAAAAGTCAGGACCTGAAGGCTTCACTGCTAAATTCTGCCAAATGTTTAAAGGTGAACTAATATCATTATACTCAAATTATTCCAAAAAATTAAAGGGGAGAGGATACTTTGAAACTCATTCTATGAGGCCAGCATTACTCTGATATCAAATCCAAAGATACAACAAAAAAAGAAAACTACAGACCAATATCCCTGATTAACATATATGCAAAAATTCTTAAGAAAATACCAGCAAATTGAATTCAGCAACACATTAAAAAGATCATTCACCATGATCAAGCGGGATTTATCCCAGAGATGTAAGGATGGTTCAACATATTCAAATCAATAAACACGATACATCACATCAACAGAATCAAGGACAAAACCATATGATCATTCCAATAGATGCTGAAATGTATTTGATATAATGCAACATCCCTTCATGAAAAAAACCTGAACAAACTGAACATAGGAGAAGCATTCTTCAAAACAACAAGGTCATATATGACAAGCCCACAACTAATATCATACTGAACAAAAAAGAAAAAATGAAAAAGCTTTCCACTAAGATCTGGAATAAGACAAAGACGGTACTTTCCACCACTTTATTCAACATAGTTCTGGAAGTCCAAGCCAGAGCAATTAAGCAGGAGAAAGAAATGGAGGGTATACAAATTGGAAAGGAAGAAGTTGAATTATTCTTCTTTGCAGACAACATAATCTTATATTTAGAAAATCCTAAAGATGCAAACAAAAAACTCTTACAACTGATGAGTTCAATAAAGTTTCAGAATCCAATATCAACATACAAAAATCAGTAGTGTTTCTGTTTGCTAACAGCTATCAACCTGAAAATAAAATCAAGAAAGAAATCTCATTTACAATAGCTACAAAAAAAATCTGGGAATAAATTTAACCAAAGAAATGAAAGATTTCCACGGGGAAAACTATAAAACACTTATAAAAGAAATTGAAGAATACACAAAAATGAAAGCCATATCTCATGCTTATAGATTAGAAGAATTAATATTGTAAAAATTTCCATACTACCCAAAGCAATCTACAGATTCAATGCAACCCCTATCAAAATACCAGTGACATTACTCAGAGAATTAGGAAAAACAATCCTGAAATCTGTATGGAAACTCAAAAGACCTTGAGTGGCTAAAGCAATCCTGTGCAAAAAAAAAAACCACAAAAAACAAACAACAACAACAACAAAAAACAAAGCTGGAGGCATCACACTACCTGACTTCACATTATACTACAAACCTATAGTAACCAAACAGCATAAACTGGCATAAACACAGACATGTAGACCAATGGAACAGAATACAGAACCTAGAAATAAATTCACACATTTATAGCCAACTCTTTTTTGACAAATGCATAAAGAACATACACTGTGAAAAGAGCAGTCCCTTTAATAAGTGGTACTGGGAAAACTGTATGTCCATATGAAGAAAAATTAACTACATCCTATCTTTCACCATGTAAAAAATTAGCTCAAAAGAGATAAAGACTTAAATGTTAGACCTAAAACTATGAAACTACTAGTAAAATACTTTGAGGAAACACTACAGATTTTTTGGAAAAGACCTCAAAATCATAGGCAACAATGGCAAAAATAGACAAATGAGATTACATAAAACTGGAAAGCTTCTCCACAGCAAAAGAATCAACAATGTGAAGAGATGGCTTACAGAATGGGAGAGAACATTTGCACACTATCCATCTGACAAAGGATTGATATGTAGAGTATATAATCTGCTCAAATAGCTCAATAGCAGTAAAACCAAATAATCCCATTTAAAAATGGACAAAGGACCTGAATAGACATTTCTCAAAAGAAGACATACAGTCAACGAGAAAAAAAAAATGCTCAGCACCACTAATCATCAGAGACATGCAAATCAAAACCACAATGAGATACCATTTCACCCAGTTAAAATGGCTGCGATCAAAAGGAAAACAATTACAGAAAGAAAAAATTAATAACAGATGAATGAGAGTGGGGAGAAAGAAGAATGCTCTCATATACTCTTGGTAGAAATTTAAAGTAGTACAGTCACCTTGGAGAACAGTATGGAGTTTCCTCAAAAGACTAAAAATAAAACTACTGTATGACTCAGAAATTTTACTGCTGGGTATATATCCAAAGGAAAGGAAATCAATATATTCAAGAGATATCTGCATGCTCATGTTTATTGTAGCACTAGCCGCAATAGCCAAAATAAGAAATCAACCTTCATGTCTATCAACGGATGAATTGCTACAGAAAATGTGGTATATATACACAATGGAATACTATTCAGCTATAAAAAAGAATACAATTTTGTCATTTGCAGCAACATGGACACAACTAGGAGTCATTATGTTAAACAAAATTAGCCAGGCACAGGAAGACAAATATTGCATGTTTTCACTCATATGTGGGAGCTAAAAAAGTAGATCTCATGAAAGTAGAGATGAGAAGAATGGTTACCAGGGGAAAGGGTAGAGAGGAGGGGTGATGAAGAGAAGTTGGTTAATAGGTACAAGAATACAGTTAGAAAGAAGAAATAAATTCTAGTATTCAGTAGTATAGTAGGGAGATTAATGGTTTAAAATTTATTTTATATTTCAAAATAGCTAGAAGAGAAGGATTGCAACGTTCTCAACAGGAAGAAAAGAGATGGCAGGTATCCCAATTACCCTGATTTGATCATTATACATTATATACATGTATCAAAATGTCACATGTACCTCAAAGATATATACAATTGTTATACATCAATTAAAAACAAGTAAAAAAACCTAATAGATACATGAAAATATGTAACCAAACTAATAAAGACAAAGCAAAGTATTCATTTATATATTGTTTTGGAGGAGCAGTAATTTATGAATCTAAATATAGCCTTTGATAACTACCACTTAGATATGAAATTTTACAATTAAAAATTTAATTTTTATTTTATTTTTAGAGAAATAATATTTAGCATATAATGCCTATTATAGATTTTATGGCCTGTTTTACAAAAGTAGGTCTCAATAAATAATTATAAAATGCTTTTGAGTCACTCCCATTACTTAAGAAATAGTGCATAACCTAAATAAGGAATGCTACATTTTGATGGGCATAATATTTTAATTTGGTAGTTTTACAAAACTGTGTTCTGGCAATTTATAAATTATATAAGCATATGCAAATTCAACTGGCATGCGTTATTCAAGAACAAATAACTGTCCAGAAATATGAGTGGAGAAAAAAACAATAAACTATAACCTCTCTCCCTCTCTCTCTCTAAGATAGCATAGTAAATGTGGAAAAGGGGAAATATTATTTAGTTATTTTCAGTAACAATCCAGTAAACAATAAAAACAAGCATTAACAAACAATATGAGGAAAATAGTTCAGAACTTTGTTTCTGTCTAAAGTAGAATCTTAAAGTGTCTTAGTCCATTCTGGCTACTATAACAAAATACCATAAACCGGCTGGCTTGAAAACACCACAGATTGATTTATTTCTCACAGTGCTAGAGGCTGGGAAGTCCAAGATCAAAGTGCTGGCAGAGTCGTGGTCTGGTGAGGGCCTGCTCTCTGGTTCATAGATGGTACTGTCTAGCTCTGTCCTTATATGGTAGAAGGGGCAAGGCAGCTTTCTGGGGCCCCTTCTGTAATGTCACTGATTCCATTAATGAGGGCTTCACCATCTAACTAGTAATTAGACCCCCGCAAAGCCCTCACCTCCCAATACCACCACACTGGTGATCAAATTCCAACATACAGGTTTTGGAGGCACACAAACATTTAGACTCTAGCATGGAGTAAGCAAATATGTTTCCTAAGAAGATTGAAATAATGTGAGCAAGTCATTGATCTCAATCATCTGAAGTCTAAATTGACAGCAGGGAAGGGACATATTTTCATCATGTAATGACTGGGAAGTTAACTGAAATTGAGTTTTTTTGTCCAGTCCAGCTCCTGGACATTAGAATAGTGCTTTTTATAAGAAGGTCTTCATCTCCATTTCCTTGCCCCAGGAATTGCTGATGAGTAGATTCACTATAGGAGAATCATTTGACATTTGGTTTCTACGCTCCTCTAACTAGTTTTTCCAACTTCCAGTTTCCAAGAATTTTCATTTGCACCCTTTTGCTCCCTTATAAATATATGGATTACTTTTCTGCCTTTTGTTCTCCCATGTTAGGATGGACAGACTCTTAGAGAGGAGCATAACCATGCATTAGAATAAAGCCCAAATCCATTAACAATTTAAAACAAGTATTTATTCTTAATTAAAGATAGAGATAACTTTGTTTTAAGAAAATTGATTCTCATGCTTAGCTCAAGTCTAACAGGAAAAAAATAGATGCTTCATGTTATTCTGGGAAGGAAGTATGCCCTGAAAGTTGCGACTGAATGGCTCCTTCTAGTGGAATACAAAGGAAACTGGAACTTTTATATAGAAAACACATGTTGAAGTTTTATATATTATTAGGAGAAAGAATTCACTCAATTTACTTTAAAATTGTTACTTCATTCTATTTTTTTTTCTTTTTTCACTTTTTCCTTTCTATTTCATATTTTCATAACGTATACCCACAAAGCGGTTTGGAAAAATTATTGAGATTCCAGGTGAAAAGGAAAAATACAATTAAATAAGAGCATCTACTGATACAGTCTTTTCCTTCAAAAAGCTGAAAAAATTGAGTTTTTGAAAGGCCATTATAAAATATCCAAATGCTCATTCAAGTATAGAGGCAGTAAACACAAGCTAAAAGGATACTAATAGGGAAATATTGTTCTATTTTTATGACTTAGTTAAGTCTCTCAGTTTCTTTAGTCCTCAGCTTCTCCACTTGAAAATCAAATAACTATACTAGAAAAGCGTATAGTGCTAACAATCTATGAGCCTACCCCATTCCCAGCTTATTCTTATCCTTAATCATTATAACAGTCTGACAGTATATAAAATCCCTCCTATTTATTGACTCTAGACAACTAAAACACTGCGCTGATGAGATTCACACCTGATCCCTTTACCCAGCCAATTACACACGTGCTTACAGTTGGACAGATTTTCTTAATGTCAGATAATCCCATACTAGGTATTTCATAGCAATGATGAAGCAAGAAATAACATTCATATATACATATGTACAAATGAACTTGCCTGGATTGTATGCATAGGACAAAATGGGCACCATTCGTTTTCTGCTTTCTTCTTCTGCTCTATCAAACCTGCTCCTTCTTTGTTCTTATAAATGCATAGATGATTATAATAAGGCTAGATTTTAGTATTGCAGTGGTATGTACATTTTGAAGGAGGGCAGTTGTGAAGCTCTAACCTTGAAATTTCAAAAATCAGCTATGGGTAAAGGAAATCCCAGGAGAATCATTCTTTGGCACCTCTGGAATTATTCAATGTCAATTCTGCTGTCAGAGAATTCAATGTGTTAACATTCAGGCTCTGTAATGTGAATCTTGCCCAAAACAGAGAAGACTGTCTAAAGGCAGCATGCACAAGTCCAAAGGAAATGTGAGCTGAAAGAACACACTTGTATAAAATACAGAGAAAAAAGCAGTCTGACAAGATGTTCAGTATGAGGCTATTTCCTAAAAATTATGTTTAAATAAAAATAGAAGGAAGGAAGAAAGGAAAGAAGAAAAGGAAATTGCAAACAGCAAATATAACAACCATAAAAAAAGTAGTTGAAATCATTGGCTATTTTGTTAAGATCATTCAGTCCTTTAAAAATGATGATTATGAAAACCAATGAGTAACCTGGAAAATGATTAAAAGTTTAAAAGATAGCATTCAAAATGTTATACGTACTATCTAGAAAACCATCTCTAGAATGTATGCAGGAATATTTGTTTCATTTTGTATACTGCTATATGCCCAGCACCTTAAATGGTATCTGACATATAGTAGGTGCTCAATAAGTATGTGTTGTGTGAATTTGTTGATGAATCACTTAAATATTGGAGGAAAAAATACAAGTTAATATGATAATGGTTCTACATTGGGGTATGGAATTATGTGCACATTTATTTAATTTCCTGATTTTCCAAACTCCTCTTTTTTCCCACCTTTTTCTCCATTATATCCCTGCTGATATGCAGTAATATATATTTTTCAGTCTCCTTCTATCCAAATGCATGCCACTTTATATTTACAACCTGGAAAAAAGAGATCATTCTATGAAGAGGGGGACTAGAAATGAACAGAGTATAATTTCTGAAAAACAAAAATCGAGACATAGAGCAGTATATACTTTGTGTAGCTACAGTCATGTCTATATCCAGGGACAGCTACATAGCACAGAAATGACTTCTCTCTCTTTTAGGCATGAGCTAGTTTTTCCATTGTACATTTATTCCACAGCTAATAAAACAGAGCCATTCTTCTTGTTTTTTAATGTTCTGCCAGTGGACATACTGCTAAGAACAATCAGTATGAAATAAATTCTTGTATTTTTCAGATAGAATTAGTCTTTTACCGTGAACTTTGGCCAAGTCAGGCAAATTAAACCTAGACACTAAAGCTTCCATTAGATATGTTACAGCACAGGCATCCTTGTAGATTCCCTGAGCAGATTGCAGTTACAGAAATCAACAAATAGTAAAACAATATGCATTAGCCTCTGGTTTTAATAGTATGTGAGGTCTGGAGAAAGAACTGCACTGTGTTCAAACTCATAATTGCAGCCTGATACATAGCTTGATGCATATAATCACACAGCCTTCTTTTCTGTTTCATAATTTTCCAGCCATCTATTAATCCAATTTACGTCTTCTAGAAATATATATATATATATGTATATATATATATATATATATATATATATATATATGCTCCAACTGTTGTTAGTTGTTTGGTCTTAGATGAGTTTCTAAATTATTTTGACTTCAGTTTCCTCAGGTGCCAAATGAAGGTAACATTTGTAACTATATAATAGTAGTTAGAATTGAGTTTACATACACGGTATTTGAAAAGTTGTGACATATCATGAGACCTCAGTAAGTCTTAGCTCCTTATACTGTGCACTATGCACTAGACAGTGGGGAAGAAATTGAATATGGTGATGAAAAAGATGGGATCTGGTTCATGGTAACTTGAAATCTAGCAGGTATGATTATTGCAAGACAATTTCTATGGATCTCTAGCGTTTCTGTGCGTCTTGGGAACGGAAGTACTGACAGCCTTTTGTTCTATCTTTTCAGAGAAGTTTCAGGTTTGTATAGAAGACAACTTTTGAAGATAGAAAGTGTCTCATTTGAGGGCAGAGACCAGGCTTGTTTGCTATCCATTATGAAAATAAGTAATGTCTTCCTCAGGGACAACGTTTGGGCAGGCTTGCTTGCAGCCCATTCTAAAAGCCTGAGATTTCCTAAATTTGGTATTCCTCCCCTGTAATCTAATGCAACCCGTTGCGTGTGCGGGCATCACTTGGCCTTCCTCACATCTGCTTATAGGAATTGGGACTCAGGCAACCAGTGTAAATGCTGATATTTTGGTTACTGCTATTGATGTAAGCGATAAACCGTCCTTTGTTTCTGATTCAGGAGTCTTTTGCCTTCTGTTAGCATCCATGAAACTAGGGCAAGCTAACTTGTTATCTTACAAGTAGGATAAAAATCTCAGATTATTTACAATTCTTAAAAATCATTAGGCAAGTTATAAGAAATATAAAACTGTGTATAAATAAAAATGCAAAAATATGCATACACACTAATGTATATGGAAAAAATGAGATGGCTGAATATTATAGGAACTTTAATGTGCAGTAGGATTTAGGATCTATTATTAAATTGATCCTAAAACTTTTAGGATCAGAAGCAAACATAAAAATCACCTAATCAAAACAACCAGTCAATCTGTAGAGGCCATGCTGATCTTGCCTACCAATTTTTCTTCATTGCATACTAGAATAGTGGGCACATAGTATGTACTCAATGAAGATACGTATTTTAAGAAATGTAAAAGTAAATTTAAGGAAACATTTATTGAATAAATGTATTCTTTTTACTGCTCAATAATTTCCATAATAGAATAGGTACTTCTGCATGGGAAATCCAGTTCATTGCTAAATATCTGTTCCAGGAAATTCTTCCTTACTATATGATTCAAGGTAGGAGAATATGCTGTGATAAAATAAAAATCACAAAATATTAGTGATGGCATTACATAATAAAAATTTTATTTCTCCCTCATATCACCATTTGATATGTGTAAAATGCATGCCTTCCTCGTGGCTTTTCCCTTCAAATCATATCTCAGGAATTGGGGCTTTTCTATAATGTTGCTCTATCCAGAAGTAAAATGAAAATGGCAATGTTTTGTCTGCCATACTTAATTTGAACTAAAGTGAGATTTCTTAAATATAATTCACCGATTCTAATTCATTCTGCTCTTGGAACAAGCAACAACAATAGCAAAAGCTTACTTACTTTTCCCTATAAATATGATAGATATTTAAATATTTATTTCCTCTTAGTCTATTTTTTTGTAGGCTAAGTAATCATATTTCATGTAATCAGGCCTCACAGGAAATCATTCCCAGACACCTTTCCATTTTGATTCTTTTCCTAAGACCATCCCTTAGGTTGACAATGACATTTAAAGAGTGGTACCAAGAACTGAATTCAGTATCTAAAATATTCTCAGACAAACAGATTAGATGAGCCCAAGTTTCCATGGTTTAAACTCTAGAAAGTCCAATGCTCTAGACTTTCATATATCTCATGAGAATTATAGGACACCAGAAAGGACAATATTTTTAAATATTAACCGATGCTTGCCATACCTCATTCCATTTTACCCCGTTACCTCTCCTCCATTTAGGTCACCAGACGGACTTGAGGCAGGCATTGCCTTAAGGGGAAGTGGCAGCTATGGAAACTGAAAAACAAAACCATCCAACTCCTGACTTTTAAGCTTTAAAATTAAAGCCACATAAGAATACTGGAAGATCTAGTTTTTCTTGCCTTTGAAGAGATAAGAACTCTCTGGGCTAGAAGAAATAGCGAAGAGTTGTACAGGAAACTAAAGAGTAGAGAATTGGTGAAAGCATATGAGAGGGGGCACCTCTGGCCTGTCCACTCCTCTCCTGTCCCCACCCTTGGAGTTGGATCCTAAAAGGGAAGAGGAGAAATAGAAGCCAGTCATAAATGGAATTTTACAGGATGGAATGCCTGTGCCTCTGCTCTCTGCCTAGCATGCCAAGAGGCAGCAGACTCCCAAGAATGTCACCATGGCAAGGGGAAAGAGTAGAGATGGCTACGTGGGGTGTCAGGACTAAGAACCTGAGGCAACCACAGCGTCTCCTCCATACCATGGCCCCACATGTGCACTCCCCTACCCCACCAAATAGCCTAATAAACATTTCAGGCAGAAGAAGGGAAACATCTGAAATGTCTAGTTTAACCTCAAACCATTGTGTTTATCCAGAAAATGTCAAGAAAATCTTAGAGTGGTGACATAGTTTACATGTGCTTGACTAAATCACATTTTCTACCTTCATGAAGACCGGAAATTGTACTGGGAATACATTGTGTCTCAGAAAAATAGACTGTCAACTCTTCAGAATTTCCTGAACACAACTTAATAACGTTCTGACAACTGTAGTTGCTTGTCTCAGAAATGGAAAAGGTCTCACTATGTCTCAAAGGTGAGGGTGTTAAAGTGGATTTGGATACCGAATTTGGATTTGCAAGATAAAGGTTTAAACTACCACCTCTGTGTATTTGTCCCCATGATAATTTCTCTCTTAGCAACAGTTTACCATTAAAAACATGTACATATTCTGAATTTCTCAAAGGCAGAATAAGGATTTTACATGAGGTAAGTGCCCGGGAAAGGGCTTTATATATTTAAATTGCCATAAATATAACATAATTAGTCTATTTTTTAAGGTGGCTGTGGTCTAAAAATTAGGCTAAAAGGTAATATAAGTGATGTGATTTTACATTTTGATATTGGGTATAGAGAGACACTTTAGTTCAGTGAATCTCAAATTTTAATGTGCTTGGAAGATCTTATCAAAATGCAGATTCAGATTCTGCAGATTTGAACTGGGGCCCTGAGATTACTCATTTCTAACTCAGGTAATAACAATCCTGCTGGACCATAGACCACACCTTGAGTAGCAACGCTCTAGTTAATGTCTAATTTTTGCACATTTCCTGAGTTTGAAGTAACAATTAATATTCAGCATCGTATCTCACATTGTCCAAGAATAGCTCCCAATATCTTTATCTCTCCCATTTGTTCACATTGAGTTCCTCATATTCTCATCATTCCTGAAGTTGATGATGTCATGACCTGATTACCAAATGCTCAGAAATTTCTTTTAGGTTTTCTTTTTAAATTGTTTTTATCTATACAGAACATGGTGTGCTCCCAAGGAAAATATAAACAAGCAGTTCAGTCTTTGAGAATTTATGAGATTTAATTCTACAAAGTTGGCAGCGGGCGTGCCATTATTTCAGTTATTCACTTTTAAGAAAGAATAAAATTTATATTTGGATTCTACAAATAAGATAACTGGGCAAGTATTATATTAAGGCATTAGGTGTTGTTTTATTTTAGTTGGTTTGTTTACTTTCACTGTCCCTGTCCCCTTGAGATTCCAAGAAGCTGGCATATGTAGGGGACAGGTTATTATCACCCACAGTTTTTCCTTCTAGTGAAGATCATTGTTGTCTAGAGTACAGAACATCATCTTAGATTTCAGAGATGATGTTATCTGCTCAGTTTCTAGGAACAAATTGTAGACAAGAGACTATGACTTTTTATAATAGAATGGGTAAAATGATCTAGAACGGGCAAAATTACACATCAACTTTCTTCAACACCCTCACCTTTGAGACATAGTATGCACACTGGTTAAGGGCTGAACTGTGGAAACAGATTGACTGGCTGGATAACGTTGAAAAAATCACTTAACCACTTAGTGCCTCAATTTCCTAATCTGTATGATGGGGAAAATTATTGTTCTTACCTCATGAGGCTGTTGTGAGGAGTAAATGAGTTAGTATGTGTAAAGCACTTAAGACCTGCCTACAATATTGTAGGCACTCTAAAGGTTAACTGTTATCATCATTATTACTATTGCTGTTATTGCTGTTACTTTATTCCTTTATATTCATCAAGTTTATGTTATGGTTAGATAATTTCAGGAAATCTGTCCCTTACTATACCACCAAGATGAACTTGATTTTGCAAGGCCTCAAGATACAAACATGTGAAGATGAGATGCTAGTATTTATAGTTACTGAAGGTGATGCACAGCTTCTGAAATAATTTATTTTATATTTTTCAGTTTTACTGTAATTGTACTATACTAACAAAACTGCTGTAGTTAGAATTCTTAGAAAATAAAAAACTTCAAAAGTATTGCCCATCACATTCAACATTTTGACATTATTCTGTAGATATTTTTTTCAAAGAGACATCTACTTGAAGACATAAGTTACTCATAAAAGTAAATTAGGCAATTAAGCTAAAAAATAATGCAACATATATTTCTTGTATAATGTTCACATAAAAATTCTTAGCATCTCTGTTCTTCTTATTTGGTGTTGAAAGAGACCAAAGCAAGAACATTTGTAGATTAACAATCCCACAATATTCATAGATCACAGGTGTAATTGTTAAATTCAAATAAAATTCAGCAGGTACAAACTTTGTGCCTACCTTTTGTGCTGTGTGAGTCATCCAAGAGGTATCTAATTCTGCCTTTTCCTTTAAGGAATTTGTCTTCTCATTAGGGAGACAATTACGATAATGGAAATGATTGGAGCAAAATAAGGAGCAACAATAATAATTACATACAATCAAGTCTCCAAATGTAAGATGCAGGCAACACAAATTATAACAGTATAGGGAAGTCAATTTTCAAATGTTAAGATACACTTCCTAAAGGAGGTACTACTTATAATGGGCTTTGGAAATAGATGGGATTTTGAATATATTCCAGGAATCAAAATCCACAGGGACAATAATGCTAAGACATCCTCTCCAGTGACCTATTTATACAATGAGAATGAATTGGGCAGTTGGGATGCAACTGAGTTACTTTTAGGATGTGAAAATACATGCATACCTCATTTTTGGATCAAACACAAAACTGAAAATCTGGAAACAGCAACAACAGAGCAGAAGATTTTTGTTTTTCATAACAGTACTTTATTTTCATAAAAGCTATTGGCCTTCAAAGTGGTTCAAAAAAGCTTTCCTTATATACAAAGCTTCTTAAACATAAATTACTTAAAAGAATTGTGATTTTCTCTCAACGTTCTCAGCTGACACCTCTCGTAGAAAGCGAGAGCACATCTCATAGTCTTACTTTGTGCTGGGAATTCGTGTGGGATAGCTTTTCCTTCCTGCTTTCTCTCTTCTGAATGATAGCAACATTGCCTCTGGCTTCATTTCTTCCAAAGTTTTTATTTTTCTTTTCTCTTTTTCTTTTTACATTTTTTATTTTAAAATATTTAAATCAAATTATAAAAATAATGTATTACAAATGAGATATAAATGCAAACCAGATACTTCTGGCTGCTGTGATTTATTAGTCCAATTGGTCTTTGTCTGTGGTTAGTTAGCCTGGTGGGTTAGAACACAGTGCTAATGATGCCAAGATCAAGGGTTTAATCCCCTTGGCCTACTTAGCTTTGTTCCATTCCATGGACAGAACTGTACTCATACCCAGGCCAGACTTCATGTGAATGTATTCCACTTGTCAGAGGCCGAGAGAGACAATGTGGTTACATTAGCCCAGATCTGTCATTACTATGAGGAAAACTAGCAAAGAAACAAACAACAAACTCAAAGTATGCAATGAACTCAAGGTCTGTCATTTGTGAAGACAGATAACCCTATTATACAGTTAAGTACATATTCTTTGCTAATATTTTAAAAATAATTAACATTTTAACAGCACATAGTTAAATGATGAGGTGATGTTATCTGAACATTTGTTAGACTAACCTGTATTTTTTTAAACTTCATTTTAATTACAAATAATAATGGTATACACTTAAGGGTGTACAATGTGATGTTATGATATATTGTAGAATGTAGAATATGTATATATTGTGGAATGATTAAATCAGGTTAATTAACATATCTATCACCTCACTCTGCTGATAGATCCTAAGTAGTGTCTTGACATCTTTTCATCTCACCTCACTATTTCTCATCTTGGATTCCTCTATGTTTAAGTATCTATAAAATATACTAGTAATATAGTATCATACACATATATTTGCATATGTGTGTGTGTATGCCTTCTAGTGAAATCCTGTAGCTCCAGGCAAATTCATGAAAAAATATGAAAAAATTTAATGAAATTATGGAAAAAAATCATTTAACAGAAAGAGTGTGCTGACTCTTTCAGGAGTGTATGCTAATGGTAGATAGAGGTGCTAAGAGAGGGTCCTGGCCAACCCTGGCTGGGCTCCCAGCGAATGAGAATTTTGTGTGAAGCAGGTGCTATCATTTGCTATGTGTCTCTGCTGAGTCAACCAGAAATATTTAAAGTCTCGTTTTTCATTAAATAAATCAAACCATGAAGATTGAAAGTAGCCCATCATTAATTGTTACAGTTGAAACCCCAGCCTCAGAGTCTTTATATGAGGTGTACTCTAACAACCTCATAAGAGTCATTAATAAGAGAAGGGAGTACTTCACTAGATGTTGTAAACTCATCAGGAAAAAAAAAAAAAAAAAAAAACCTCGAATTAGAGTACATATAAAATACCTTCAAGAAGTACTACCTAAGGATGAGAAAAGGGCACAGGACCAAATACTAAGATACTCAGCGTTTAAAGTTTAGGTAGAGGAGGATGTAGCAAAGGAAACGGGAAGAACAGCCAAAGTATAAAGAAACAGATGCAGACAGGAGGATACCATGAAAAGATGTCAGTAGAAGAAAGAATTTTAAGAAGGGATTAATTCACAATGGCAAAATTTATAAAGCATCAATTAGGATGAGGTTTTAACAGTTAACTTTGAATTGGGCAACATGTTCAGTATTATTGACCTTAATATATGTTGGTGAGGTGATGGAGCAAAATAGGGAACAGAGATGGAGAACGTGGATAAACTTGAATTGGACAGATATGAGAATGGTGGACAAGACGGGAAGCAATAGTTGCCAAGAGGATGTGGGTAAGCACATTTAGAGAAACATAGTAAAGTTTCAGTGCCATTGAGGAGGGCAGGTGATCCTGAATGACAACTGATTAAAATGATCTTCATTCTTACATGCAAGTTTTGACCTCCTGTTTTTACTTCTATCCCATTGGCACCATTGATACCACTCTTAGATCCAGGCAACTAGAGGCCTTCCCTGGCCCTGAGCTTTACAGTACCCCTCACTAGCTCTCTTCCTGTGGTGGCTTTCCCCATAGGAAATTGTAGGGCAAAGGGGAATTGCTCACCCAAAACCTCTTCCAGCGTCTCCTTCACCATCCTACCATTGTATTTGGGTTCTATTGTTACTGTAACCAATTACCACAAACTTAGTGGCTTTAAATAAGGTAAATTTAGTAACTTATGGTTCTGCAAATCAGAAGTACAAAAACAGGGCTCACATGTGTCAGCAGGGCTGTGATCTTTCTGGAGACTTTAGGAAAACCCATTTTCTCGCCTTTTTCAGCTTCTAAAGGCTGTCTGCATTCCTTGGCTGATGATTCAATTCCCCTCTATTTTCAAAACTAGCAATGGCCTGCAGAGTCATTTTTCTTTCTTTGCATCAGTATGGGAGACTCCTCTGTCCCTTGCCTCCCTTATATGAGGAGGCCCACCTCATAATGATTACATTGGGCCCGTCCAAAGAATCAGGCTTATCTTCTTAAAATCCTCTCATTAGCAAGCCTTAATTCCATCTGCAGTCTTAACTCCCCTTTTCTAAGTAACAGAACATTCAAGAGTTCCAGGAATTAGAATGTGGACATCTTTGGGGAGGGGCATAATTCTGCCTAGAACAACTATGTTTCTTTACTCAAGACCTGACAATTTCCTGCACAGATGACGCAGGCCCATTTCCGCAGAGCCATGGTTCCTAGAGCAGGCTGCATTGTCAGTGGACTCAGCTTAGGGTAAAGGACTGGTCAAAACTCAACTGTTTGGTAGCAGGGGGCAGGTAGAGGAGATTTAAATACTTAGTTTGAGATATCTACATGTACGTACTGCAGGGTCCAGGGAGTTCTCTTACATTGGGATCCCAAGTTAAAGGCAGGGGTGGCTGTCACCACTCAAAAAATAAGCTGCCCCCACTTTTTACCCTATCTTATTCCAAAATATATTAGGAAAACCCACTTCAAGTTATCCCTCCAAATAAAACTAGAGGCGGGGGGTGGTTCACCTCACTAATTTCCAGTTGGAGAATTTGGAAACAAACATTTTGAGAAATTTGGTGGTGGGGGCAAAAATGTAGTGACTGTAAAGTCACAATTCAGAAGAGTTGGAAATGTTTAAGTCCATTTATTTAGATCAGGTACCACATCAGAATTGAACCAGAAAAGCGGTGGAGTAGTGTAAAAGGATAAATCAAAGAAGGGTAAACTTTGAGGAACTTTAGCTCAGAACTACATAGAATTAAATTCCATACCATTGCTGCTTTTTCCAAGTAATTGTGACACCCTTACATAGCAGAGACGACAATGAGTACACCAGCGGTCAGATCACATTCTCTGATCTGAGTGACTCACTCTTGCTAAATGCAATTGGCCCGCATCCCCACCCCATACACACACTCCTCTTCTTCAACTCCAAGTTGACCCAAGGACGATCTGATCAAAAACTTCTTCCTTTGTATATGTATGTGTGTGTGTGTGTGTGTGTGTGTATATATATATATTATATATAATATATATTATATATATATTATATATAATATATATTATATATATTATATATAATATATGTATAATATATATTATATATATAATATATATATACACACATACATAAGTAATATCTAGGAATATGTACACACATGTATAATGTATGTATGCATATACATATGCATATGTATTTGTTTATATATCTTTATTATGCAATTATGGAAAGAGAACTAAATCAAGAGTCAAGAGAAACAGGACTTTGGTTTTAGTTCTGCCACTAGTTCCCTAGAAGACATTAATCAGATCATATATTTACTTATCTATGAAAAAGGATGTTTTAAGCTTGATGATCCTTTTTATTATTTTCCACTTTAAAACCCTAAATAGTTACCCAGGGGAAGTCAGGTACATCTGCTTTCCTACTAGAACTCAAATGTAGATTTCCCTAACATGAATTATCGGAATTTTTATTAATGACCTCACTAAGACTGCAGGCTTTGACAAGCTATTTTCTCTCTCTGTCCACTTCTGTAGATTCTAAGTCTAGGTAGAATTAATCTTTACTCTCTTATCTTCTTCCAGCAGTACACAATATAGAAACAAAGAAAGGTATCAAAAAAGATATTGCATTGTAGGAAGATTTTGCCAAACACCTACAGACTTTTGTGTCCATGACGTATTAGTACCAAATAACTTTTTTTTGTCATAGAATAAATATTTGCACTAGAGGCCATAGGGAGCACGGAAGATGCAGCAATGAGGGGTATGGACATGTTGAATCAAGTTCTGGCTTTATTTTATCATTTGGAAAATATATATAGAATGTCTTCGAAGTGTTAGATATGGAGATGAACAAGATATAAATAACCTCTGCCAAAGTCTAGCTAAAAAGACAGATATTAAACTCATAATTGTACAAAAAAATCAACTACAGATAAAAGTTATTTGAAAAAAGTTGGAGGCATTAAACATTTGAACAGGAGGTTTGGCATTGAGAAGTGGCTGTCCTCACAAATTTGCTCTGTGTCCTAATTCAGTCACTTTATATTCTAGGTCCTATTTTTTTTTAACATCATAAGGATTTTCTCAATCTAACATACAGCAGAAAGCCTAAGACAGAGTTTGAAATCATATTCTACATTATAGCTTCACTGATTTTATATGTGCTCAGATCCCACCAAGAATTTGTAAGTTATTCTAATAGTTTTTGTTTCTCCTCCTATTATATACTTTACTTATTCAAAGAATATTTACTAAGCCAGATATCATATGATTGAAATTTAGTGAAATTTAGAGATAAAAGTCACAGTCTCTCCTCTCAAGCAGCCATGGTCATATTGGGGAAACAAGCAAATAAGCAACTTCAAATCAAGTAGTTAATTATTAGTATGATGGGAGCGTATTCTTAAAAGAACAAGAGCTGGTGAAAATAGGAGCATTAAAGCTGATCCTCATCGGATGTTTTGGAAGACAATTACATGAAGAGCAAGAAGGAGTTAACAAGTGAAGAGGGTGAGGGATGTGTTGGTGCAAATGCTCTGCTCATATGTAAAATGACATGCTGGTAGAAAGTACCACGGCTTCTTCGCAGAATGCAGATCTCAATTCAGATAGCTGGTAAACATTTGCAGGAGGTAGTGACATGGGCAGGGATCAGAATCTGAAGGTTAAAGAGTTGTTTCTACAGACTGCGGGATGTGACTGTGAAATTTTTAAAAGAAGAATGAATCATCATTGCACAGTTGGATTTGCAGTGGCTGGGTCATTAAAGAGTAGTATAAACTATGAAGAACAGGAAGAAGTCTCGCCTTGGGACCCGGAAATCACTAAGAGTCTCTTGCAGGAGTCTGAGTGAGAGATGCCGAGCAAACTAACGATTATAGCAACAGAGATAAGGAGAGAGTCAGTAGAAATGGAAAATTTGGGGTCAACTTGACTCCAAGACCAGGTGTGGGGACTGTGAGGAGAAGGAAGGAGTGCCAGAAGATTCCCACATTTCTAGCTGGGACAACTGGTAGTGGGGGAGTTTCAGTAGAGATGAAGATTAAAAAAGAGGATCAAACTGGGGACATGAGACAATCAGTACTATTAGGATTGAGGTCCTTATGTAACACCTATGTGGAGCTACCTAGAAAGAACTGAATAGATAAATCTGGAACACAGGAAGGGATCTGATCAAAGGAGGTCAATTTGGGAAAAGACAATAATAAACGTTTAAAGTAAATTATGAAACATATTATTGCTGGAAATACTCTTGTACTACAAAGAGCACAATTTAAAGTCCAAGAACTGTGCAAACCCTTAATAAATATGTTTTTAATATTCAGTGATAAAATGATTGAATAAAAGCTGTTGCGGCGTAGCAAAAAGTTCCTATCCAATTTTTATAGTGTCAGTGTGTGTGTGTATGCCTGTGTGTTTATACATGTGTATGTATCTGTGTACCTAGACATACACACAGACACTTATGTAAACATTAACGATATATGATAACTGTATATCTGCATTAGTGTGCTAGGGCTGTCATAAATACCACAAACTAGGTGGCCTAAAAAAACAAATTAAGCTGGGCATACCGTGGCTCACGCCTGTAATCCCAGTACTTTGGGAGGCCGAGGTGGGCGGATCACCTGAAGTCAGGAGTTCAAGATCATCCTGGCCAACATGGTGAAACCCTGTCTCTACAAAAGTACAAAAATTAGCCGGGCATGATGGCGGGTGCCTGTAATCCCAGCTACTCGGGAGGCTGGGGCGGAAGAATCACTTGAACCGGGAGGAGGTTGCAGTGAGCCGAGATCGTGACATTGCACTCCAGCCTGGGCAACAGAGCGATACTCCGTCTCAAAAAAAAAAAAAAAAAAAAAAAGTTAATTTTTTCATAGTTCTGGAGGATAGAAGCACAAGATAAGGTGTGGTCAGTGTTGGTTTCAAGGTGAGACCTTTCTTCTTGGCTTGTAGGTAACTCACTATGACTTCAGATGGTCTTTCCTCTTTGACAGAGCAGAGAGACAGGGAGTGGGGTTTGGGGGAGACATAGATATCTCTGGCGTGTTTTCTCTTCTTATAAGGAACCTAGTCCTATTAGATTAGGGCCCAACCTTTTAAATCTCATTTAACCTTATCACCTCCTTATATGTCCTGTCTTCAAATACAGCCATATTGTGGGTTAGGGCTTCAATATATACATTTTTGGGAAGACATAATTCAAACTATAAAAACATTAGTGCATTTGACTTTCAAACTGACTTTTTCTCTGAGAAAAGATAGACTGTAAAAATGAGAGATTGCTGTGAGTCATAAAAGAGGATGCCTACGTATAAGGAGAGATATGTTTGCTGAATCTCAGAGCTAGAGTTTGCTCATTTATAAAATGAGGCCCAGTGCGGTGCCTCATGCCTGTTATCCCAGCACTTTGGGAGACCGAGGCAGAAGGATCACTTGAGGCCAGGAGTTGGAGACCAGCCTAGGTAACATAGCAAGACCCCTTCTCTATAAAAAAAAAAATTAAAAAAATTACCTGGGCGTGGTAATGCACGCCTGTAGTCCCAGCTACTCCAGAGGCTGAGATGGGAGGATCTCTTGAGCGTGGGGGTGGTAGCTGCAGTGAGCTGTGCTCATGTCACTGTACTCTAGCTTGGGCGGCAGAAGGAAACCCTATCTCAAAATAAATAAAATAATGTGAGTATAATTATTTCTACTGATTATGTCAGAATACAAGTATATTCTCACAGACGTTTTTTTCCCCATTTTGGAGAGGGTCAGATCCAATTGCAAAGAGATAAACCTTTATTAGCGAATGGGCTTAATCAACTACCCTTTATTGCTCTGTGAAAACCAGGCTGTAAAAGCCAGAAATGGTGGACGTCTCACAGCAGTGTCATACCATGAAGATGTAAACTTAAAGCAGAGATTGCTTGTGGAAAACTGTGTTGCATTCTTGGCATGTGGGCACTTGCAGAGATGTTAACTTTCACTTATGATTATTTTAATGTAGGAGCTAATCCCCGTGTATTCTGCGCCTGCTCTGTTTTACCCCTTTGTACACTCGGCTTTTGTTTGGTCCCAGCCTCTGAGTTGGTGTTCCCTGTAAAATCTCCTTGGAGTAGGGAAGCCCTCGCCCTGGCGGCCAGGTGACAGAGACAGGGTGGGAACCTGCCGAGCCTTGAGGGCGCGGAGCCTCTGCATACCATTCCCCTCCCACCACCATCCCATGCTGGGAGGCGGAGAGGGCTGCAAACTTCGCTCCAATCCGCAGCCAGCCTTCCCCGGGGTCCCCCTGCAGGGTGACCCGCCCGCTGCAAAGCGAGTTGGAGAAACTTTGCAAAGTTCCGCGTCAGAGCCTGGGGAGGCAAAGTGCTCCCCCTTCTCCCCGGCGTTCCCCCTCCCTCTGCCCCCGCCTCCCTGTCCTCGCACAGCCGGGAGCACCCGTGATAGGACGAGCCCCGGGCGTGCATTGTGTATATGCAAACCGGAGCTGGGCTCCCCACGGCTGCCCGACCCGGGCCTGGGCTGTGGCTGTGACTGGCGCTGCCGTGGGCGCCGCAGCCCTCGCGGGAGCCGGACGCGGTAATGCCCCAGCGGCGCAGCGGGCGGCTGCGTCCCTGAGCCGCTATATAAGCGCGGCAGGGAACATCCGGAGGGGCTGAAGATGAAGGTGCCCGCGCATGGGCCCCCGCTGATTGCCAGTCCCTCCCGACCCCGCGCCCCGCGCGGAGCCCGAGGCCGCCGAGGACCCGCCTTCGCCGCAGTAGCAGCTGGAGCAGCGACAGAGGCGGCAGCTGCGGCGGCGGCGGCGCCCGCGCCCCTCGCGCCAGCGCGTAGAGCGGCGGCGGCAGCTCGGGGGCCGCCACTGCCCCGGCTGCCATGAGTTGTGCGGAGGTGATGTATCACCCCCAGCCTTATGGAGCGTCCCAGTATCTGCCCAACCCCATGGCAGCGACAACCTGCCCCACAGCCTACTATCAGCCGGCGCCCCAACCTGGCCAGCAGGTGAGTCACCGGACGGGCAGCCTGCTGGGGGCGGGGGCGAAGGGCATCGAGAGTATCGGTCTGGGGCTCGGCGACGTCCCGCCGGCACGCGTGGCGCAGAGGATGCTCTGGGATCTGCGGGAGCGTCCTTGAGCAGAAAGCCATCCCGAGAGAGCCGGGAAGGGAGAGCAGCAGGGTGGACGGGTGGGTGAGGCATGACCTAGCTGGGGGCTTCATTGAGCTGTGGTCACCGGAGCTCAGAGGCTGCTCCTCCTAGGCACCCTAGCTCTTAGGACTCAGTTCTCTGAAGCTCACCAAGGGCATCTATCTTAGGACCATGTGAGTAAACTTCCTTTCAACCAACTATTTTGTTTATTTGGAAAGATGGAATGTTTCAGGGTTTTATTGATGAGGAAGATGAAGTGCGCTGACAGAGGTAGGGGAAGCTACCTGGAGAGTGAGTTCACGAAATGATCTGGGACTTTCATGGGGGAACACTGGTCTAGCATAATGTCTATCGGGTGTTACTAGAACTTCTCCACAGAATCTTTCTCCCGGTGACTGTGACTTAGAGGACAGGGATGGATTCCAAGGTTCTTCATTCATTTTTTAATTCCAGCAAAGCACAGAGTTTGTACGTGTTCAGTCTGTTGACAGTGGGTCCCTCGGCCAAAAGGTTACCTTGAATCTCTGGATGCTGAGTCTCCACTCTTCCAAGAGTAACTGAAGATGTCCATAATAAGGGGTCGTGAACTGAGGAGATGATATAGTTACTTTAGAAGGAACAGTAGAGTTCTGGGGAATTTGGCACGAGGCGCCCTTGGACATTACTCTCTGGATACAACGGAGAGTGTGCCAAGGCTTAGTTAGTGCTACATTAAAATAAAAAATGTATGTGGCAAGGGCTGTACCAAAATAGAGTCCACCTCAGACTATGGGAATTAGGGTGGGCGGATTTGGAGAAACTTAAAAAAAATAACTAGATTTGGTTAGGAAATTACCATCCATAGAATATATTGATTTATTTCTTTTTACTTTCTTAGGTACCACATGTTTTATTGCAAACCTTCTTAGGTTTGGGCTGTTAATTAATCTGACATTTTACTTTCTGTATTTCCTCTACTTCTGTCTCTTTGCTAGAATTACAGTGCTACTCTTTAGAAAGAAATCTAACTTTCCGTTTAGAATTTAGGAACTATGAAATTCAGCTAATTCTGGAAGGGTACATGCCCCAGATTCATCTGCTAAATAGTACCAGCTTAACCAGAACCAATTAGGGCAAAAGAGGAAGGAGCCCTACTTTCTTGCTATCCTCTTAAAAAAAATATTCAGCAGCACCAGCATTTCAAAGCATCTCTGATATTACAGAGGTCTTCAATTATCATTTGGAATGTGGATGAGCAACAAACTAAAACTTCTCTACATGTTCAGAAAGATACTTTCCTCCTTTATAAAATAACAAACTAGTAGAAGTTGTTTCAAATATGGCTTTATTTTTTAGGGTTGTGAAATTAATGAATCTGTGGTGTGGAGTTAATACTGTAACACTTTTTTTTGAGCTAGAAAATAACATTCGGTATCAGAGAAAATGGCAAATTGCCAATCATAAAAGTTTTCAATAAGAAATGACTCCAGTACTTTATATAATGTTTGCAATAGCCCTGAGACTCGGTCCCCAAATTCATTTCTTTTGCTAAAACCGTCAACATACTGAAGACAACAATTTTAAAAAGTAAAAAATAAAATAAAATAAAAATCAGGAAAACTCTGACCATTGAGCTTCTTAAAAAGAAAACAATTTATCTACATTGATTGGTTACATAATGATCAACTTCTATATTTTGGGCTTTTGTAGACATTGCTTAACTAGATGTTAGGCTGAGTGAGCCATAGGGAGGTGCTTGGAAATTTTCATGTTGCTTTTTCTTCTTTTTCTTCTCCTTCTTCTTCTTCTTTTTTTTTTTTTTTTTTTTTTTTTTTTTTTTTTTTTTTTTTTTTGGTCAAGTAAAGAAACTGTTTGACCATAACTGGCTAACGAAATAAAAAAAAAAAGACTTGACAGTGTAACTACTGTTCTTTTAGTGTCAGAAGTTTATTTTGATGACCTACATTTTCTATTGGAAAAGAGAGTAAATCAGGAAATTCTTATCAGGCTGACAGCATTTTTAGACTATGCAATGCGTGGGTGAAGTGGGACTAATATTGACTTGGCCCTAATGCAGTCATCCGAGAATACATATTTTGGTTGTTTTTGCATTCCATAAGGTTTTATCATTATTATCCATGAAGATTGTTTTCTCCGTACATGGGAAGTGACCCCTAATAGCATCTTGCCTGGGAGACAAAAGTAAGGGCTACAACTCCTACTGAATTTGAAAAATTGATTTTTGGAGAAGGAAAAAATGGAAAAGGAGCGAAGAAAAGTAACAGCAATCAAGAAATTTTAATAGCCATTTAAAAAATGCTAGAAAAGACAGCATTAAAGTTTTATATTACTTCTGTATTCAATTGTAGTAGTGTATCTGTCAACTAATTTCCCCCTCAAACTGTATGGCTCTGAAGTCCTTATTAATTACTGTATCAAAATGATTCCTTATGATGGATTTTAAACACAGGTATATTTTTCCTCTTAACAAATGATCATATAACATTGAGAATTATTTTGGAAATAACAGAACTTCATTATCCAGGCATGTGTACTCTCACCTGTTTTCCGATAAGCACAAATGTGCACCTGAAATTTAAGTTTAGGTTTTTGTTGAACATATTGCATGTTGTAGGTGGGTAATAAGTGAATGTCATTTTAAAAACCTAGTTAACTGTATATATATATTAGCTTGCACTGCAGTGTGTTACTTAGGTATACAGTGGGCTAAAAAGTCAAAGTAAGCTAAAATATGTGCAAAGTATACATTTTATTGTCCCTGACATTAATTACTAGAAATTGCATGGCTGGGTATAAATCCTACAGTGGGGTTTATAGAGCCAAAATTACTGAGGGATGCTGGGTGACCTGTTTCGCATGCCCACCATCTCTTTCTGGCTTTAATATGTCAGTCTCTAACAACTCCTCAGGAGAACCCTTGACTCAGTCTCTCAGCACATGCTGTCAAAGGTTTCAGAATTATGCAGTTTATAGATGAGACAGAGAACAGTCACTGGTTTTCTAATTGTGCATGGGGATTTTTAACAATCACACTTTGGGCTTCATATAAAATGGAGTATATTTACTCTGTCCTCTTCCAGGGTAACAGCTGGATGAATCTGCATGCATGCTTTCACTTGAAAAAATTAAGTGCCCTTGGAGGGAGAACTTCAGTTATAAGTTTTGTAAGGTGTTTTTTCAAACTCTCTCTGGACTCTGCTACGTTGGTTGAGTCATAAAATTGTTCTGCAATTCGGTTTGTCAGAGAAAAAAGCCCTGGAAAAACATAACTTCAACTCTTCTTTTTACAAGTGAGAAAATGGATTTTTATAGGGCTGAAATGCCTAGCTAAAGATTTCAAAGCTGGTGACAAAATTAGGATCACCAGATCCCCCTTTCTCCGGTGTAGCATCTTTGTACAATGACATGAAATTTCCTAAAGCTTTTTAAATTTTTTTAATGTTTTGCTATTGCACAATAGGCTTATTTTTGTCTTTAGGTCCCCAATCAATTTTTTTTCTAATGAAGATTAATATGCAATAGATTCTTTGGCGTTGGAGTGCGAGATTCTTTCCAAGTCCTTGGTAGTGTACTTTTTTAAGTTTAGGCATTCCAAAGGCCGTTAGCAAGCATTTGGATTATGCTAATGACTTATGCTATCCATGTTGCACCCTTGTTGATGAAACAGTATATCCAGTTAGCAAATGAATATTTATTTATCTAAAATAAAATACAGGAAGTGGTATTAGCAGTTAAGTGTCTCATCTATTATTGCTATTCCAACATAAGTTTAGATTCATTAAGAGAAAAGAATACAGTTATAACCAAAGTAGTTTCAATTCACAGACAACTTATTTGAGGCAGAGGATCTATTTTTCTTGCAACTGTAAGTAAGGACTTAAGTAGATTTATAAAAATTTATACAGGACTTCTTTGAGAAAGAACAGCCCCTATAACTTCACACTACACAAATTAACTTCACTGTAGAGACTTCGAGACTTAAAGTGCCCCACAGCTTCATGCTCCCTATAACTTCCCAGCCAGAAAATTCAAAGCTGGAGGAAAAATTAAATGTTAAAATAATTGAACTCTTATCTCTGGCAGTCAACCAGAATCGAGATTACAATGATGATGGTAAGGGCAAGATTGAGAACCATAAAATCATGCATAGTGAGGATGTGTTCACCAAGAAACAAAATGCCAGGACAAGGTGACACTGTGGAAATTTATGTAAAGGGTATTCTGGCTAAATGCAAGGAAGTTCTACCTTATCTAGCCCTTAGTAAAATTTCACATCTCACAAAGCCGGAGATGGCAAGGAGGTGACCTATAAGATGGTAAAAGAGGTGTTTAGAGTGGAAAGTCTTGTTCTCCTATGCACTGTTTCTTCAGGTTACTGAAGAAGAAGCTGGGCTATGTGCGTGTGTGTATATATGTGTGTGTGTGTATACGTGTGTGTGTGTATATATATATATATTTGTCATATCTATCTGTGCAAAGGGAATTTTCAATGGGAATAAAACTATTATGCTTATGATGCCTAAGGCAGATCTTAAAGCAAACTTGTAAGCTAGGTGACTGTCATTCTAAGACCTGGGTGCTTAGCTTGGTTCTCACTTCCATAGGCTCTGTGTCCAACTAACTTTTTAAAAATCTGAAAACTAATATATCTTGTAATAGATAATATGTTAGGGTATTACCTCCAAGAAAACATTTTTATTCAAGAAGCAAAAGCTCTCTAAGAGTTGAATTTGAGGCTCTGTCAGGGACAGTGAAAGCAAAACTTTTGAGCTAAGCTCTGCTCTGAACCTTTCAAAACACATCTCTTTAAGCAGCTGGTTTTCTGCTCTGACTACTCATTTAGGAAGACCTAAGACTGCCTTGAACCATTAGACCCAAACAGCTGCTGCTAGAACAACTCATAAATCCATATTTACTGATAGTTCAGTGGATACCAGATTTACGCCAGTAATTTACAAGTGTGGTCTGAACTAGGGTAACTGAACCATTTTTCACTTGTCTCCTTCTTTAGTTGAAGAAGAAAAGAAGAATGACTTAAATTCAACAGGTGTCATTTCTCCTTAAAACCAAATGATTTCAGTATGCCAAAACACTTGTCATTGGAGGATGCAGTAGGGGGACTCTAAAAGTCTATCCTTTCTTGTTAATATGAAGACAGATAAACGAAGTGCCATAACTAATTCCTAGGAATTGGGCTAGATGACCCATGTCTGAAAATAAATTGTTCTTCAATGATCTGTAGGGTTTTTTTGGCTAAATATCAGAAGAGGCAGCCAATGTAAGAAAGAAAATTAAGTGTGAATTTGTCTAGAGCTCCAGCATGTTGCTTATTAAGATATAGAGTTGGATGAGAGACCTCTGAGACAATCAAATCAAAGTTTCTTGTTTTCAAAAGAGGAAGCTAAGGGCCAGAAGCTTCAGTGGCTTGCTCAGACTCATGGAAATAGTTTCGGTCAAATCTTCTTTCCCATTTCAGTTCTTTTTTATTGAATTCCCTTCCCATCTGTGCTGCTTTAGAAACAAGAAAACAGTTAGTAATTAACCTATGTTATCTTTTGAATTTTCTTACTTTTAAATTTTGGAATATTAGCCACTTAGAGATTATAATGCCATCAGCCATATAAATAAACCATGAGGCTCTCTTTATTTATTATTGCCCTTACTATACTCTTCCAATTAACTATGAGAAGTTTGAGTTTAGGAACAGGCTATGACTTTCATCTTTGTGACTCCAAGTCTTTGCATAATTTCTGACACAAGGTAGGTATTAATTGACAACTAGATAAATTAATGAATAATGGATAAATTACCTTAAAAATGAAATTATACCCTAAGTCTAGTAATAGAATTATACAAACTAACTAGAAATTTATATGTTGGAAACTGTTGTCTCCTTCAAAGTAGTTGGTTTGAGAGAGAACACATACCCTCATGATATGATCATTGCTTAAAACATTTTGGGAATGTAAATTTTGAAATCGCCTCTAAGCCTGTGGCACATTTTTTTGAACATCATCAAAACTGGCAATTTTTCTTCCTTGGAGGGGTTAGGTTTGATTTTTTGATAATGTCAAGAATCATTTAGAGGCAAATGCACTCAAAAGTAACTCATCCTGTTAAGTTATATTATTTTCGGTTGGCTCCTCCCTACTGTTAACAAAAACAGAGAAACAAACACAGAATCCTGAGGTGTGATTTTGTCTCACAGACTGACTGGTCAAATTTCCAAAATAAGATTTTCAGAAAAATTGTAGACAATTGTTTTATGTATCTGATTTGTCAAGGAGATAATATGTTCTTAGACATAGAAGTTCAATTTCACCTAGAATTATATATGTTTTTAAAAGCATGACATTGTTTAATCTCTAACTTTTTAATGTCATGAATTTTAGACTGTCCTAGTTAGCATGTGATGCCATGCTGACTGATGTTTTCTGTTTGTCTGTTTATTCAGTTAAAATAAATATCGTAGAGACACATTTTCTTTAGTCTATTTTCTGGGTACATGCTTTGTAAACAGACAGAAATAGGTTCTAATCCCATCTCTGCCACTTACCATTATAGTTAGGCCATCCTGACCCAGTAATTTGCATATTAACTTATTACTTGGGAATACTTATTCTGACAAAATATGTGTATGTGAGAGGACAGTTATGTGAAATGAAATATACAAAAGATTTGTGATATATGTTCCTTAACTTGACCCAACCTCATATAACTTGACCTATCCTTCTCCAAATAGACTAAGAACCAAAATCTGTTATCCAAGTAAATTAGGAAATATGTGGCCAGGCACGGTGGCTCATGCCTGTAATCCCAACACTTCTGGGAGGCTGAGGCAGGAGGATCACTTAAGGCCGGGAGTTGGAGACCAACCCTGGCAACATAGTGAGATCCTGTCACTACAAAAAAATTAGAATAAAAAATAAGGCCAGCATGGTGGCACACACCTGTAGTCCCAGTTGAAGTGAGATAATCATTTGAGCCTGAGAGGTGGAGGCTGCAGTGAGCCGTGGTCACGCCATTGCACTCCAGCCTGGGCAATGAGTGCAATGAGTGCAAATGAGAGCGAGAACCTGTCTCAAAAGAAAAAAAATATATATGGTCACAGAGTAATGTGCTGCTTTTATGTCCTCTATGATTTTGAAATATTTACCCTGGGATAGTGATTTCTTCTTATAGCTCCAATCATGTTTTTGAATATGAAAGAATCATTGTATTTTAAAAAGATAGCCAGTAGATTTTATTTTTAAATCTGTTTCTAAATATCCAAAGACTCCAGTGATTCATTAAAATACTTTTGTTTCCCTAGGAAAAAAAGTTTCCACATATGCACGGTAATCATTTGGCATTTTGTAGGCTTAAGCCTTGGGGAGTTAGTGGTATTTGGCTCCTGACATGGAAGTCTTTCTCTTGTCAGACAAATCCTTCCCCTGCACATTCCTGCTGAAAAATTTGTTGCTGTTGTGCCTAATGGCAAGCAGTGTGGTGGTTGGATATGGTCTGTACTGCCCAAGCGAACTCTCCACATTGATACTTTAACCTCTTTGTGAGTTAGCTTTAACTTTATAACTATTAACCCATTTATTGTTTCATCTTACTCCAGAGTCATTTTACCGAGGGAAAAATTGTCATAACTATGTAGTGGTGAAGAGACATAAATGTGCATTTAAGAAAAACAACAACTTGTAGTCTTTAAAATCCCTTTAGATGACTTTATTTTTGTTAAAATTTCTGCAGGGTCTTCGAAGAAAAACATAAATATTTCTGAGAAATCTGGATATTTTTAGGAAGTGATTGTGCATTTTGAGAAAAATACCAATTAGATTACATTGTGACCTTCAATCAGGAAATCTTGGTTCTGATGATTTGATATTTAGTCTCGATGTTTTGAATTTTATATATTATTCCCAAGAAAGAATGTAACACCAGGAAAATTTCACTGAAGGAGCAAACACCAAGTGAATACAGAATGTGGCAGAAGTGCTTATGAGCAAAATACTTAGTTAAAAAAAAAAAAAAAGCAGAGCTGGACGCAGTGGCTCATGCCTGTAATCCCAGCACTTTGGGAGGCTGAGGCGGGTAAATCACCTGAGGTCAGGAGTTTGAGAGCAGCCTGGCCAACATAGTGAAACCCCGTCTCTACGAAAAATACAAAAAATTAGCTGGGCATCGTGGCAGGCACCTGTAATCCCAGCTTCTAGGGAGGCTGAGGCAGGAGAATCACTTGAACCTGGGAGGCGGAGGTTGCAGTGAGCCAAGATCACACCATTGCACTCCAGCCTGGGCAACAAGAGCAAAAGTCCATCTCAAAAAATAAAAATTAAAAAAAGCAATAAATTGATTTACAGTCAACAGAACACAGACATTAGAAAGTAGTTGAGGCACCAGAGTCTATGGAGAATGAAATTAAGATGGGATGAAAGGCAGCATTTGAATCCATTGCTGTTTAAATGCTGTATTTCTGTTTTCCTCATGATCGCACTTAATGTTAAAAACAAGTATGCAAATTCAACCTTGGCACATTAGTGAGTTATCAGGCCATTTGGATACTTTGAGATTCTTATTTTAACCAGTACTGTTGATTGTGAGGCTATGTCTGTGTATGTGAGTGTGTGTGTGCTTGTGTGTGTTGTAAACGTAAATATTTAAATTGGTTCATTATAATCTGTGAAAATTAACCTAACTTTATCTGAAAAAAAATTGCAAGTGGCAACGGTAGACATTCTTGTGTCCTGCCTATGGGTAGATAGAAGCTTTTTTCATTTTATTTGTTTGATAGTTTTCTAGCAAATTTATTTAATTAGTAAAAGAATCGAGAGAGATAAAAAGAAAAAAGAAAGTATATAATCATTACAAAAAATTTTATTTAATTAGAGGAATCAGTATAAATATTTTAAAGAACCATATATATTTGCTATATCAAAAAGGAATATTTCAGTATACATATTTATGTAAATATAGATATATTACATATATGAAATAAAAAGAATATAAAGAATACATACAATGAGAGAATTCTTTTTCTAAAATAAACTGATGACAGATATTTTAATGCAGGGGCAGCTTTTGCTTACTATTTCCCATTGCATATTGAAAAATATAATTTTTAGGTTAGTTTATTTCTATCCAACCATTGAAAAATTGGTAGGAAAAGTAACACAATATTATGAAGCATTTAGAAAACTGTGAAATCTTAAATCAATTGAAATTCTATAGTTTAAATACAATAGTTTAATGGATTTTAAAATATCGATTTTAAAATTGATATTTTATGATTGCTACTATTGATAAGAATACTATTTGACGTTTGTATCAGGATTCATGGCCTTCAAATCCTTTACATATATATAACTTCAATTTTATTTCATCTAAGAATTAATTGCTGTCAATTAAGGATAAAATAAAACTTTGACTTTATTTGGATTGTTAATGTAGCCAGGCTCTTCTATTTAAAGAATGAATGTTACAATTAAACAAATAAAGCATTTATATGCAAAGCCCCACTCTCACAAACTGATGCTGAGCTGGACATTAACAGAAAAAAGAAATTAGTTTCACGGATAAGAATGAACACTTGTGGACAATGATGCCACCATGTAGATAGGTTTTAGGGTTTTTTTTTTTCATAGAAAAACAGAGCTGCTTTCTAATGTGCCCGAATATTCAGCAGAGAGTGTGTGCATATGGTTAAAACAATACATGTTTTAGGTAAATACACATGCACCCGAAGAAGCAGCACTGTGATTTGACTAATAAATCATAATATTCATTTAATTTTTTAATGGAATTTAAAACTAGGAATAGTTTTAGAGGTTATTTAGTTCGATTCCCTCATTTTACACATACCATATGTTTCTATGGTGTTTATACTATTGAAGTTAAATATAAACATGTTCAAATCTGTGCAGAGGTAGATTATGAGAAATAAAAGCAATCATCTATTCATCAGCAAGGCACATTCACTTACAAAGTATGAATTATCTATTCATCAACAAATCATAACCATACTGATACGAATTTTAAATAAAAGCAAAACACATATTTATAAATAACCATCCTGAAACGATAACTAGAAGTTCATAGTATTTCTGAATATTTCAGTACTCACCTTATACAAGAACAACATATTCACTGCTAGGGGAAAGGGACCAATTTATTGAATGGTGCATTTATAATTTGAAGCTATAGATATTGAAGCTAGTAATTACATTAGAAATATAGAGTCTGGGGTATGTATTTTGCTAACATTTGAAAAATTACTGGGTATTCTGGAGTGATTTATCTATTTCTACTCACATTCATTTTCCAGCATGCGTTTTTTTCAAAGTAAAAAAAAAAAAAAGGTATGATCAAGGATCAGGTTTTGCAGACATAAAGATGACAGAGAAAGCTCATTTCGTCACTAGAATAATACATTTCATATCTTTAGCATTATCTCCTTATATGTAATTCGCATTGAAGTTGATAATAAATGGAATATGTGCTCAGTGAAAAATGTTTGGAAATACTGAAAAGCAGAAATAAGAAAATGACAATTAACTATAAACGTATTACACAGAAAAACAATACAAAATACATTTTTGTAATTTTTTTACTCTAGATATCCCTCCCTGCCTTTCCCCACCAAATGTATGCACACGCATATCTATATGCTAGATATCCCTCCCTGCCATTCCTCAGAACATATATATGCACACACATGTCTATACCTGTATGTTTTTCTTATGCATTCTGACTCTGCAGCTTACATGATTTGTGACTTTTGGCAAGTAA